>NC_000015.10:87956429-88107944 GCF_000001405.40 Homo sapiens
CGCTCAGCTAATGTTTGTATTTTTAGTAGAGACGGGGTTTTGCCATGTTGGCCAGGCTGGTCTCAAACTCCTGACCTCAGGTGATCCACCCGCCTAAGCCTCCCGAAGTGCTAGGATTACAGGCGTGAGCCACAATGCCCGGCCTTTTTTCTTTTTTTGAGATGGAGTCTTGCTGTGCTGCCCAGGCTGGAGTGCAGTGGTGCAATCTTGGCTCACAACAACCCCCGCCTCCTGGGTTCAAGCAATTCTCCCCGCTTCAGCCTCCAGAATAGTTGGGACTACAGGCGCCCACCAACATGCCTGGCTAATTTTTGTATTTTTTAGTAGAGATGGGGTTTCGCCATGTTGGCCAGGCTGGTCTGGAACTCCTGACCTCAGGTGATCCACCCGCCTCAGCCTCCCAAAGTGCTGGGATTACAGGTGTGAGCCACGCTGCTCTGTTTTTTAGGGCAGGGGTGGGGTAGTCATTTAGGGAAACACTGTCCAGAAAAGCCCACCTTGTTCTGGTTATCGTTTATCAATTCTCAGGGCCGTGACTAAGACATCTCTGCACTGGGGGCGGAGCAGTGGGTTGTATTGCCTCCTCACCCAATCCTCTTAGCTCCAGCCAACCCCACTCAACGTGACCCATGGAGCCAGACTGTCTGGGATCAAATCCAGCCTACACCAATCATTTCACTCTGAGATCTTAGAAAAGTTACCTAACATTTCTGGTCCTCAGTTTCCTTAGCTGTAAAATGGTATAATAATACTAGAGCGAGCCTGCCTCATACAATTGTTTTGCATACAAATGTGTTAGCATGTGTAAAACACTTAGAAAAAATACCTATTAGGTAAGCATCAAGTCTCAGCTATCATCACCATGGCAATTGTCTTCATATAATTATCACCAAGAAGTACATTATTATGACGCCTACAGTCCCACAGCGGGAGCATCTACACACTACATCCCTGTGGGACATTGTGTGGCTTCATTAAGAGATTGGGCTGGACTCCCACCCAGGTTCCACTGCCCCTGGCTGTATAACCTCTTTGAGCCTCAATCTCCTCATCTGCAAAATGGACTCATAAGATGTCCTATAGCACAGTGTTGTGGTAGGATTGCATAAGATCCTATATGGAAATCATTTGGCACAGTGCATAGGGAAAAAAAGGAGCTCTTGGAAAATAGAGTGGCTACACTATAATTACGTTAACACAGAGGAAACAAATGTGCACTGTGAATCCAACTGTAGTCACTTCTGTAAGGTGGGGTGACAGACTTCACAGAAGTGAGAAATAAGTCTTTTTACTGCTGCCTCTGCTTCTCAGAGACTATGAAAGAGGACTGAATCATTTTAAGCTTCTACCAGTTCTTTGTGCTGCTGGAAGTTACACCTGAAGTCGGTGGCCCATTGTTTAGCAGAGCACATTAATTAGTCTGTGTAAATTCAAAAGTAGGCTCAACCTGGGAAAGGAAAGAACTAAATTGCTCTGGACCTTAGAGTGTAGTGGCTGAATTCCTCCGAGGAGAGGAACTCAGGTGACTTAGGAGAGAACAAAAGGGAGCCTATAAGCTTGGGGGTGGCCTGTTGGTGGGGTGGCTGGAGGTCTTTTAGAGCAGAAATGTCTACCATGTATTATATGGGAGTTCGTGTTGATTCATCATAAACTTCCCACGTAATGCTAAAATTACAGCAAAAGCCGCTCCACACACAATTCCACAAATTAGTGATTTCAGGGGCATAAAATACTGCATAAAAGGCGTGTTTCACATACAGGATGAAGATTCAGAAGGGCAGTGGCATATATAGGATGCTTAGTCTGTCTGTATTGACCCACCTCAACAAAAGCGAGAACTCTGATGATTTCAGGAGAAGAGTAAGATAACTTCAGCCCACCTCAACTCTGAGCATCCTTAGGACGGAATGTCTATTCAGGGTGGAGCTCCAGTGATTTCATCTGAAGGATGCTCAGATATCATCTGACTTGTGAAATCCAGCATCGTTGTCCAAACCCCTACTTGGCATCTCTGCTTGTGTGTCTAGTGGTCTTTCACGTGTAACACAGCCGAAAAGAACTCTTGCTTCTTCTCCTTGAATCTGACCTTCCCCAGGGCGTCCCTATGTGGTAAGCAGCATTCCCATTCACTCAACGGCTCAAGCCCCTAGCCCAGGAGTTTTCCTTGATGACTCTTTCCTGCAGTGCTCCCAAGCCCATCAATAAATCGTGTCCACTCAACACCCAAGCAATTCTCAAATCTGTCCACATCTGCAATAGACCCTCTGCCCCTTATCCTGCTGGCACCATCCTAGCTCAAGCCACGAGGCTCTCTCACCTGGGCAGGGGTCTCCCAAACTGAGCTTCCATTCTTCTCCCACCCCTCTCTTCCATCCCTCACCCCAACTCTGGGACATGGTCGGCTAACCCAAGTCATCTTTAAAAAACTGTAAAGTAGGAACCTTGATGTTCCTCCCCTGCTTCAAACCCAAGTTAAGAGTAACAGCCCAATGCACTCTATCATTGCTTACGGAAATTGATTCTGCCTAGCCCTCTGAGCACATCTTCACTGCCCCCACCCCCGCTCCCCGCCCCCCGCATTCCCTCTCCACTCTACCCAATGCCCTTCCTTCTCTTCTGAAACATTCCAAGCTCAGGGCCACCTTAGAGCCATGACAGCAGCCACTACCTGTCTGTGAACGCTTGCTCTCCAACCACTCAGTGGAAAGGAGTCACTTCTAGCCTAGCACACTGTTTCAGTTCTCATGGCTCGAACTGCCGCCGTCGGATAATTATCTTCCTGACTTATTTGTTTGTTTATCATCTGGTCCCCTAGTGGGCAGAGCTCTGGCTCCTTGCGTCTCCATCAGTGCTGTACCCAGCACCTCCGCCACCACCTGGTAGACAGTGGTGCTCAATAAGTATTCGTTAAATAGATGAGCGGCTGCCTTTCTGGGTTTTATTGTCATTACTCCACAGGCTCCTGTGACTCTCTGGAAACATCAAGCGAGAGCTGGAGATCCAGCACCAACTGAGATGGCTGCAGCTTCAGCAGATCCGAATTCTGAAACCAAGGCAGGCGTGCTAGTTATTAAATCAGGGCAGTGCCCAACAGGACATCAATCACAGCTCTGAGTTCATATCGAGCTTAAGACGACAGCCATCTAAGCATAGATTCTACCAGCAAATACCTAAACGTTTAAAGTTATTGAAAATCAGAAGCTCGGGTCTCGATCTTCATGGAACATCCCAGCTGCTCCTCAATCTGAGGCCCTACGCTCAAGCTAGAGCTCCATCACAGCATTAACTCATTAAAGGATTGACACCAACACAAAAGGGCCACGGAATCTACTGGAAAGCCCTCAAATATGTGGCAGTTTTGTAGGCTCTGTGACTCTCTTCATGGGAACGGCTAAGAGGGAGCCAAATGTGGAAGCTCCGTCAGTCTCTGGGACACTGTCCCAAGGCATCCTTGCATGGAGCCAGCATATCTTGGCATGGCCACCAAGTTGAATTCTCAGACATGTGGGAAACTGGAGATGAAGGAGGTTGCCTGCTGCCTTTCCCCAGCTGCATCCTACTAAAAAAGAAGTGGGGAGCAGACCCCAAATTTAGCTATGACAGCCAAAATTAAGTGTGTAGAGCAGTTGAGTTCAGCCAAAACTCATAATGGTGAAAATAGGAAGTGCTCTGCCTCCTTCATGAAAGACTATCTGTTCATCAGTACCTTGTTTGGGTCCCTCCTCGAACAAGACTAATCCAGGACCTCCTGTCAAAGGGACCAGAGCACAAATCTCCCAGTATAAATGGACTAACTCTCAGATGAGCTAGGGAAATAGGAAGAAATTCCCTTATTTCCCTCTGTCTTCAATTCTACTTACCTCATGTTTATTTTTCATCTTACATGAATTAATAACTCTTCTCTTTCTTCTAAGGTTGTAAAGCTTCCACTCAAGCTTTTATCTCCTTTTTTTTCCATCTACTTTTTGGATGTGGACCCATCTAGCACCCGTCTCTCTTCACTACTATAAACCCCTCTTGCCCACTGACTTCTCACCTACAGAATAAAGCTTCCCCCCATCCTTTTTTTTTTTGAGGCAGAGTTTCGCTCTCTCACCCAGGCTGGAGTGCAGTGGTGCCATCTCGGCTCACAGCAACCTCTGCCTCCCAGGTTCAAGGGATTCTCCTGCCTCAGCCTCCCTAGTAGCTGAGATCATGGGTGTGTGCCACTACACCTGGCTAATTTTTATATTTTTAGTGGAGATGGTGTTTTGCCATGTTGGCCAGGCTGGTCTTGAACTCCCGGCCTCAAAGAATCTGCCTGCCTTGGCCTCCAAAAGTGCTGGGATTTCAGGTGTGAGACACTATGCCTGGCCTCCCCCATCCTAATCAAAGTATTTCCTTGACCCGTCCTCCCCTAGAAATTACTCCTTTGTCTGCCTTCATCACCAGACTCTGATGGGTAGTCTAAGCGGCGTGCCATATCATTCTTCTGCTTCCCAATCATTTCTCAAGCCTCATTTCACTCTCACTTCTACCACTTCACCCCCCTGACTTTACCTGTTATAAAGTCACAGTGATCTCTGATGCCCAGGCCCAACTGCTTTTTCCTAGTCCTCATTCAACACAGGTGAAGTTTAAATCCTTCACAGTCTGACTAATGCCTACCTGGCCTCTCTGATCATTAGCAGCCTTGCATCTGATGAGATGGGGTACTCACTTATCTCGACAGACATAGGTATGATCAGGATTCTGAAATTCCAGGAAGCCCAGGGCATATGGGTACTTATCACAATGTGGTATATGACTTCCCTGTGCACAGCCATCTCCCTCTGAATCACAGACCAGGTTTGAATCCACCATGTAAACCTGATGCATAGCCTACACTTGGCATTAAGTTTAGAGACTATCATTAAACTGTTGACTGTCATTAAAAGAAGAACATATGCCACCGATCCCTAAAAAACTCAAGCTAGCTATGTGGGTAGATTTCCAAAGAATCTGGAGACACTCCTTCTAGGGAGATTTTTTAAAGTCGCATTTAATTGATGCCTTAGCTAATAACTTTCTTAAATGAACAAATATTTTTTGAGCACCCACTTTTCTGGGCACTGTAGTATTAGCAGGTTTGCCGATTGGCATACCAGCTACAGCAGGAGCTGGGGTGGGAGATGGGAAAGTTAATCAGGCAGGAAGTAAGTCAGGTCTGAAGTGGGCTGCAGTGGCAAGGCCAATTCCTGAGGGTGCAGTCTGTCCCCTAAAAGCTCCTGCTTTCTGAGCTGCAGCAGGTCCTGCCCAGGGCATGCCCAGATGGGCTAAGCAACAGATGGACATTGGTGTGTTGGTGAGAGCACCAGGCTTCCCTTTGGCCTAGCCATTAACCCCTGATTCAATCCACCTATAACTGCTTCTTCTCAACCCCATTGCAAGGAAAGCAATGAGCAGGTGCTCAGACTTCTTTCTGATGCTGTATTTCCTTGATTCCAACTACCCCTGCTTCCAGGAGCATACCAGAGAGGTGGGCCACACATGGCTGAGTGGACTTCCAGAGCTGGCATCCATTGTCCCTCTCTCGGCCTGGCAGATAGGAAGGGCCAGCACCCAGGGATCTTGGAATGCACATGGCATCTTGGCAGCCACCTCTAACAGATGACCAACAAACAGCTTGCTTGGGCTGTAGGAAGTGACACAAACCTAATTGCACTTATTGGTTTCAACTACAATGCTCCTCCCACACCCAGCTTTTTTCTCCCTTCCCTGTTGCCATTGGATCTTGATCCCTAATATCATCACTTTATGCTTGTCTTGCCCGTGCATATGTTTGGGCTCTTTCTGCATCATCTGCTCTGCTGTCTAAAGACCTTTCCTTCCCCCAGGACTTATCTTCAGCAGACAAGAGCTCAGGAACCCAGAAGAGGAGAGGAAGAGGATATATTTCTCCTGCCTGACCATCTTTGGCCCCATCCATGCTCACCCCTAGAAAGACACTAAAGACCCTGTTTGTTAGAAAAAGAGGAGGAGAGGTGTTGAAGCCACAGCATGGGCTTTGCTGTCACCGCTGAGGGCTGCTAGAGAGAAAACATGGCTATCACTTGGCCTCAAAAGCTGCAGATTTAGATAATCTCACTAGCAATCTCTCCACCCCTTCAGATTTCCTGTTGCTATTTCCTTGAATTCCTTCCAGCTGGTTGACTTCTCTCCAGTTTGTGCCCCTCCCTTGCCTGGAGCCCAGATCAGTGGGTTGGCTGGAAATGCCTCTCTCTGAATTGTCTGTGGCCTTTTACAGCCAGCTTCAATCTCTACTGCCATGCCCCACCCGATGTGTTCCAAGGACGCCGCCTGCTTAAAGGTCAGAGCAAGAGGTCAGGATACATGGGTACTACCTCCCAACCCTCACTCTGACCTTGAGAAAGTCATGGCATCACGCTTGGTTAACCCTCTGCAGGACATAGAGATTAGAGGCTTCATTCAGAATTCCATTAACATTTCTGGACTGTGCAGCTCAGAATCCCCAGCCCTAAAATGTGGCAAGGCTCTGGCCAGAAGAGCCCTTTGGGGAACAACATTATGTGAATGTTGGCAACATCTTGATGTTACCTGAAAAAAGATAATGACCTCTGCATTCAACGTGTTGCATCTTTGGGTCTGAAGCAATAATGTTTCAGAAGGAGATAGCTTTCCACAGTCAGCTCTCTGTTACAAGATAGCTGTCCCTCAGGAGAATCCACTGGATACCTGCTTGGGGGAATCCACTGGATACCTGCAGTCCTCATCAGAGGTAGCAATGCAGTGACAGACATACTATCTCTGATGAGGGCTGCCACTGAGCCATCTCCCTTGTTCAGCTTAACCACCAAGAGTACCTAAATACTTGTGCTGTTTTTCGTAAGAATGGAAAAATAAAACAATCCAAGTTTTCAAACACAGGGGACTAGACAAATAAATCTGGTATGTCCACACAGTGGAGCATGACACAGTCATTAAAAGTCAAGCCATGACCCTCTGTTTATTAAGACTGTGGGGAATCTCATTCTCATATATGGACAGTCCCCCACTGAACGATGGTTCGACTTGGGACTTTTCAATTTCACTATGGTGTGAAATTATTCTGCTTTTCACTTTCAGTATGGTATTCCATAAATTACATGAGATATTCAGTACTTTATTATAAAGTAAGCTTTGTGTTACATGATTTTGCCCAACTGTAGGCTAATGTCAGTGTTCTGAGCACATTTAAGGTAGGCTAGTCTAAGCGATGATGGTTGGTAAGTTAGGTGTTATTAAGTGCATTTTCAACCTGTGATATTTTCAACTTATCATGGGTTTATCAGGACATAGCCTCATGGTAAATTGAGGAGCATCTGTATTACTCTTGGGGTACACATTGGTATCACCCCATATGGCCAATATATACAAAACAGATATACCAAATAGCTTATAGGGGTCATACGGCTTTATGTTAATATTATATTTAGGTTCAACCACATTTATTTAGTTTCAATATATTTAGGATCAATCCATTTCCGTGTTTTATAAGAGCAAACTGTTGTGAAGAAATTAAATAAATTTGAGTACATCAATATAACAGGATAGTATGGATCTCTAAAACAACAATGAGGGAGTTCTCTAAGAGCTCCAAGAAACTGGGGTGGGGAAGGGATTATCCTAAAAAGTGCACAATAGTATGTATGACACAGCTGCAGTTGTACAAAATAGAGAAAAAATAAACAACATACATTTATATCTGTTTGTATATAATTGGCTTAGATATAATTCATAAGGACACTCAATAACAGAGGTTACTTATCTGGTAATGGTAGCGGTGCTAGGAACAACTTGCCAATGAGGAACAGGTGTAAAAAAGGGGAGTGCTCTCATTTTATAGACAGATAGATCAATCTGTAGCAGTAATTTGGATAAATAATGATAATACTTCAATAAAGTTTACATATATTATATATGTTTAGTTTATATATTATATATTTACTATGTATTATATACAAGCATCATTGAGTTCATACATGCAAACTTTATTTTACATATTTATTATATAACTTATTTTGTATATATATACAAACTTTATTGAGACATTATTTTACATACCATAAAATTCACCTATTTTAATGTAAAATTCAACAACTTTTAGTAAATCTACTGAATGGTATAATCACCAGCATAAACCAGTTTTCAAACATTCATCACCCCAACAAGAACCCTGGGTCCATTTATAGTTAATCCCTGCTTCCAACCCCAGCCTTAGGCAGCCACTAATATAATTTCTGTCTCTCCGTATTTGCCTCTTCTTGACATTGCACACAAATGGCATCATAGAAAATGGGATGTTTTGTGTCCAGCTACTTAGCATGTTTCTCTGAGATTCATTCATGTTGTAGCATGTGTAAGTGCTTCATTCCTTTTTATTGCTGAGTAGTAATCCATTCTATGGTTACACCACATTTTCTTTCTCCATTCACCAGTCAATAAACATTGCGTTTTTCTGCTCTTGACCATTATGAAAAATGCTGCTATGAACATTTCTGTGCAAGTTTGTGTGTGTGTATATGTGTGTATTTTTTTAACCATGTGGTGAATATATCACTTCCACAAAAATTTTTAACATTGCAAAAGATCAGTTAAATTGCAAATGCAATCTTATTTTTAAAAAAAGGTAGCAAAGTAATGTGTATGTGCATGTGCACGTGGAATGATTTGATTCTGACAAATAAGTACATAAAAAAGATTAGAAGGCAGAAAGCTGAAATGTTAACAGTGTTGTCTCTGGGTGATGGGATGGTGGATAATTTATGTGTTTGTGTGCTTTTCTGTATTTCACTGAATTTTCTACTGTGAATATAAATTACCTTTGTAATCAGAAAAAAGCACAATGTTATTAAAAGAAAAAAACTATCCTTCCTATTCAATTTCTCCAGGGTCTTTACCTTTCTGTGACAGAGAGATATTCTCACAATAGTCCACAGATGGGGAGCCGGGAAGGGGCAGCCCCTCTCTTTCCTTTATGATGCTGGTCACGGCATCCAGAAAGCTGCAGATCCCCAGTAAATACCAGTCAATTGTGGAGACCTCGAGATCAGTCTCTATGGCAACTGGGTGGGCCTGTAAGAGCATTGCCCCAGTGTGGAGACTGTCCAGCAGGAAGAACCTCCACAATTGTGTACCTCAGGCAGCCCGAGGTCACCAAAGGACCGTGGTGTTTATTCACCAGGCAGTGGAGTCAGGATTTCCAAGGCTTGAAGGCAGCTCTCTCTAAACAATGGAAACTTTAAAGTCTTAACTGATCATTTTGATTATGCCATTCTTTGAACTGCCATTTTTATTTAAACATCTGCAGATCAATATCATGATTCAGTATTTTTAAGAACTCCATTAGGCTGAGCAAGGTGGCTCATGTGTGTAATCCCAGCACTTTGGGAGGCCGAGGCAGGTGGATCACTTGAGATCAGGAGTTTGAGACCAGCCTGGCCAACGTGGTGAAACCCCATCTCTACTAAAAATACAAAAATCTGCCAGGTGTGGTGGCGGGCACCTGTAATCCCAGCTACTCGGGAGGCTGAGGCTTGAGAATCACTTAAGCCCAGGAGGTGGAAGTTGCAGTGAGCCGAGATCACACCACTGCATTCCAGCCTGGATGATAGAGCAAAACTGTCTCAAACAAACAAACAAACAAACAAACAAACAAACAAAAAACTCCACTTGGGAACTAGGTGTCTTTCCTCTATGTTTACCTCTCCCATAATTTCATCATATTGCTTCATAATTACTCACTTATCTATACCAGGCCTATTCCTTACATTTGAAGGACTTGGGACAAGGGAATAATTAGAAGCACACACACATGTCTAAAATTTGGAAGTTATAAATCAAGCTAACACACTAATAAATAAGGCATGTCTTATCCTCCTGCCCTGCGAAATTGATCTTCAGGATGACCTGAAGGACCAGGTGACTTCCGGTGTCTCTGGTTCCTCAGATTTGCGAGTGGAGACACATGGTGCTAAGGAGTTGGCCCCTGGCCTGTTCCCTTCTCTTCCACCCCCATCTTCCATCCCACAGTGAAAGGGGTCTCGCGTACATATGTGTGCACACTGAGCCTGCAACTCCATCTTCCTCTAACCGTCCCACCCTGACACTCTCGATGTTCCCACTGCCCCCACACAGTAATCCTTTGGCCAACTCTTGGGCTTAGCAGTACACGTACCTGCAGCGTAGCCCACCCTTAGAACAGATGAATGAAGAGACCCGCATGTGTCCTGGAGGCAAGCTGAGAGCTGTTTGGGTAAGGAATTCTGGTTTAGGAAATGAAACATTGTCTAGAAGGGAGGTGGGGTGCAGGCTCCAGATGGTCCCTTCTCATGGCCCTAGGACTTTTGGCAGCTAAAGGAGGGCCCTAAAAAGTGGGGAGGTCCCCTCTTACCCAAGACTAGTGAATACTGGACTGTATTGTCTCTAGACTGGGGTTTCTCAACGTTAATACTGTTAGCATTTGGGGCTGGATCATTCTTTCTTGTGGGGAGCTGTCAGAAGCACCCACCCTCAGTTGTCACAACCAAAAATGTCTCCACACATGTCCCTTAGGGGACAAGATCACCCCCAATTGAAAACCAGTGCAGGAGACAATAAAGCTCTTGATGACAGGAAATACAACTGACTCACTTAGTAGCAGAGTGTGTGGCACAGAGTGGATGCCCCAAATATGTTTGAAGAATGAGTCAATTAAGCAACATTTGCTCATGATCTCAGAGGTATTCCTTGAAAGACCCTATTCCGGTGGGTTTGTGAAATAATCCCACAGAAGGGCAGTTCTTGCTCCCCGGGGTATAAATGATGAACAGGAAGAGGCATGAACACTGTCACCCACTTAGGACCTCATGATGAGACAGGTCCCTCTGCTGGGTGGTGTGCTGGGTGCTATACAGAGTTAACCTAAGGAAGCTCCCTAGACATTAAAGCATTTCATAGTCCAATCTTCCTATACCGAAGCTGCCCAGCTTAGGAGAAAGAGGAAGGAGGTGCCAGAGTGTCTAAACTTAAATAGGCACTCCCATAGGTCCTGGCTAGAGCACTGCGAGCCTCACATGTTCCTTAAACAAGTCCAAATGTGATGCACAATGAGAGCTACAGTGCAATGAAGGGATGCCCAACCAGCAAGGTGCTGCTTATAAATTCTCTCATCCCATGCCATTCATGCCTCCTGCTCTCACCAATGGGATTTTGTAAATCCTGTTCGTGCTGAGTCTCTTCAATCAACCAATAATGTTTACTGTGACATCAAGCCCATGTTCTTCTCCAGAGCAAGCAAACAGCCCCCACTCTGTTTTCTTATAATAGGTGAAGTCTTTCTTGTATATTTTCCACATTCCTAGCAACTGAACATGCATGGTTGTAGCCAGTTTGCTTTAAGTCAACACCCATGGGGCAGTCAGTGATGTCTGAGTAAAGAAATGGAATTCTGATGGACTTCTACACTTGGATCAAAGTGCATGACTGGTAGATTTCCCTGGCTCCAAAGGGACTCAGGTTTGATTTCAGAATCTGCTTGTGCCTGTTTTCCTAGAACAGCAGGTCTCAAAATGGTCCAAAGGTCCCTGGTGGGCTCAAGACCCTTTCAGGAGATTCATGTGTCAAAACTATTTTCCCAGCAATAGTAAGATAGTGTATGCCTTTTTTACTCTCGTGTCTCGCAGGTATTATTCATGAAGTTGTCCAGTGGTTTCCAGACATGTGATGATGTCATCATCCTGACAGCTACATGGAATGTGTGTGTATACTTGAGCTTTTAAATTATACTCAGTTTTAATTTCAAATGCAGTGAATATGATGGATATAACCCACAGAAACAAACATCATTTGGGGTTTCTATGACTTTTAAGTGAAAAGAAGTCCCAAGACCAAAAACTTTGAGAACCACTGCCCTAGAGCAATGGTGCTAGCCTAACTTCTACATCACAGCAAGTAGGGAGTGGAGGCAAAACACTTCAAAGACTTCTGGGAGGTAGAGTAAGTTAGTGAGGGTAAAAATATGTACACGTTCAGAGTTTTATAACAGGAGTGTCACTGTGACATTTTAACTGCAAAATGTTCTCCAGGTTCTTCAAGGTAGAAAAAAAAACAGGTCTAGGAAAGAAACGAAAGTATTGATATCTTCAACAAAAGCAACACCTCCTAAATACAATATTGCTTGTTTGGAGCTCTACTGATGATCTAATTTGCAGTTTGACTAACCTCACCTCACCACCCCTAAACTGACCAAAAGTTGACTCCATGTGTTTGCATCTCCCAGAGTATTGTCAAGGGTATGCAAAAACAATTAGGAGAGTGACTAAGAGCGTGTTTGTACCATGTGTAGAGATGGAAGAGAGAGCATGTGAAGCTTGTGATTCTAACTGCAATTTGGGGATTATTGGTGAATTTCAATTACCCATGCTATAGAATCAGGATATGATTATCAACATGAAGCATTCATTTTATCACTGACCAAAATAAACAGATGAAAGAACTCATTCCCCCCAGCTTTACCACCAATCCTTCAATCAGTTTTTATTTAACCTTTTAACATTTCTTTACTTCTTTTATCTCCTCACATAACATAGATGCTATCCCCCCACCCCCTGCCAGGTACCAAGGTATTTTGAACACAATGGAATTATCCTTCCTATGCCCAGCATACTCAGAAGAGGCATAGGACAATTGCCTTCATCTTTCAGAGGGAACGAATGAGAGATGAAATTCACCTTCCCAGATTGACATGGCCAATTGGTGCCCAGGCCCAAACGGAGATGCTTCCCACTCATATCAGAGCAGGGGCCTTCCGAATCCCTGCTTGAAGAGGCACAGGCTGGAAACACCCACAGGGGTGGAAAGAGTTACTGACGCGTGTGCCAGAGTCCCTTTAAGGGAAAGAGGTAACTCCTGCTTTGTGCAAATATCATTTCCAGAAATTGCGTCCCCCAACTCATATATTGAAGGACATGAATTTTCTTGATTAAAATAATGATAATAGCAATAATAAGAAGAATAGATAGATAGATAGCTCAAGTAGAGCTCAACAGCATGTGACTAATGAGAAAAGTTTTACCAGTTCAAGGCTGGGGCAGCTAAATAATGGCCATAAACTATCATGTGAAGCCAGGCTACTTCTCTACAGCCTGCTTACATCTTCTGTGCTATAAATAATTCAGAGTTTTCTTTTTTCTTAAATATCACAAAACCAAGTCAGAATCTTTATGTGAAGGATTCTGCTGTGTCCCTCTCTCCCTCCTCCTCTCCCTCCCTAGCCAGCCCAGGCAACTCCCTGGAGAATGACCCCTCAAGCTTTAACATTTATACTTTGACATTTCAGACTATTTGTTAGGCAGAGCTGCCTTCTTGAGATCAATTTCAGAAAATCTTGCCGAGAACTCCCGCTTGGCCTTGTCCAGCTGTGACAGAGAGGGTCTATTAACCCCCAAGCATCTGCTTCCACCCTCATCCAGAGAAATCCACTGATCCTCACCCAAAGGGGCAGCCATCTCTCTCACTCAGTTTGCCTTATACACAACATATTCAGAGAGAGAGAAGGACCAGGAACCAAGAGATGTCCTCCACTAAGAGACAACAGTGACTCATGGGGACATGGTATTTGGGGCATCTGTCCAGGCAGGGTCTTTTACATGAGGATCAGCAAACTCTACTAGCTACTCAGAGACAAATATGGAACAAGGAAAGGTAACTTACCCCATGTCATTTTGCTAGTGGTAGAGTTGAGACTGGGATCCGGGTCTTCATTGCTGTATGCTACCACTAGATGATGTCACCTCCACCAGCCTGGGCGGATGGCCAGGTTTAATGCTGAGGTCTCAAGCTCTTATGTGAAATGACTTACCATTTTCTTCTGAGATATCACAGCGAAGGTTTCCTGATCTTCACAAGAGTGTCTATCCATCAGCAACCAGAATTTTTTCTGACTCTACGTAGAAGGCAGAAGTGAGGGCTGAGCCTAGAGCTGGGTAGCGTGCTGGGTGTGGTGGTTTCTTGATATAAGAAGTGGGTGGTTGACGAACACATCCTGCTTGATTCTTCTTTAAAAGCTTCTGATCACACTATAACCCAGTGTTTTCTAACATGTGTGTGCTGAGTCTATTAATAGATATTAAATGAAGAATGTTTTGTGTTTAATTAGAATTGGAAAGAGGTAGAATAAGGTTTGTTTACAGCAGGACTTCTTGGAGCCTTTGATATCCTAATGCAAACTGTGAAACTCTAAGAGCTGGCCATATTGTGCAACATTCTCCAAAGTTCTCTGATGGATCCTTGGCATATCATGAGACTAAGGAGAAACATTGCTGCAATCAATAAAAAGGGGAGCACTTGATCCTTACAACATCATTTGTCTAGTAACTGGAGGAAGAGAAAAAGATTTTTCTGCAAGTTGGGGATTTCAAATTAAGGGAGAACCATATTGCAGGCCCTGAAGCTCTGCCCAGAAAACAGACCAATTTATGCAGGATAACAGTTGGTCAAGTGATTGACCCAATAAAATTATTAAGATGGCCAAAGACACCATCCTGAAAATGCACAGTGGGGTTATTCTGGTCTTCTTAACGACTAGGTTGGCCATTTGGTATCAGAGGTACTGTGTAGCAATCTCCTGTTATGGTAGCAAGAAATGCCAAATTGACAGCCATAAAGATTGAACGATTCTGTGAGTCATTTAAACATGAACTTAGAATTTAAATTCTCCCAAGAAGGACATTCTCAGAATATGTTCTATATTGGTGGTGCCTCCCCTGCTGCCCACTGACAGTGGGAGGAAACAGACTCAAGTTCTCCCTGGCCAGCTCTATATCTGGCTCCCTCTGAAGCAAAAGGCCTCAGTGAGGAGCTATGGTCGCCGGTTGGGGGCAACCAGAGAGCATCACAGATCCTGGCTGTGCCCTCCTGGCCAGGGTGAGCTGTCAGGAACTAGCAGTCTTGACAGAAGTTGTTTGAGATTTACTCTCATGTTCTCTGCCATGTGAATTTTCTTTCAGAATTAATAGCAAGAGCATCCAGAGATTCTGACAGAATATAATTAATAGGCTAGATTTAGTTAGTATCTAGCCAGTACTCTGGAATGTTCCTTCTGTCACCCTTGCCTTGACTTTGGCAGCAAGAGGGCAGAGCTTGGAGACTGCTTGTCTGACCCAGTGCTGAGAAAGACTGGAAATTAGCCTTTGTAGGTGCAGGGGTCCCCTGCGTCACAGAGGCTAAACCCTTTCAGCTTAAAACTAGAGGACCCTCCATGTCATGAGCTCCCGACACGCTCAAGAACCTAGCTGTGAGAGGTAAATATTTCCCTAGGCCTGTGCAGCTGCCAAGGACCATGTCACAGGCTCTGTAGACCTGCCCCATCCCTAGAAGAGCACATGTGCTCCCCACAGCTCCACACCCTCTCTTTTTAAGAGAAGTGCGTTTTTGAAGGTCAGGATTTCATGACTTTTGACCAAAGGCTATTGCAAGCCTTGCAGAGCAAAGAATACCACAATGTGATTTTTAAACGACATTACGAGGTCCCAAACAGACTGAAGGTAGTGTGAGCTTTGGAGTGAGAAAGTAAGTGGTCTATCAGAACTCTGTAACAGAGGTATCACCAGGCCATATTAGACAGCAGTGAAGTCACTTTCCCCTTTGCCAAGGCTAAGTCCTTGTCCTTCTCACTGCAGAATGAACTTGAGGGCAAGGGAGGGGAGAATGTGTCTTTTTCAGGGAAATAGGCCACTTGCTCCAGTGAGGTCTCCAAAGGCAGAGCTAGGCTTCATTGAGCTGCCATGATAACAGCACACAGGTGGCAGAAACTGAGGCAAAGACAGCCATGAAGACAAGCTGGTCATCACTGCAATCCACAAAGGCTTCCAGCATTACTTACCAAAGCCAGGTTTGGTAGTGTTTTCTGAGGTGACATGATGTTCTGTCCCTCAAACTTGGAAGAAGACAAAAGTCAGGGACTGCCATACTGGAACGATGCCTTTGGGCAGCCTCACTCCTTGCTCTGCAAACCCTCTCCATAGCTGAGCAGGGGATTTTGACCACCCCTCCAAACTCAGACATTACTTGACATTACTCTTAGGGTGTGAAGTGAGAACTGCTCGAGGGTTTTGGCTCTCAGAAAAGCCAAGCTCCATTCTTCTTGACTTACGCCAAAGGCCCCAGTCCCCACCCATAGGTAAATCAAAGCCTTAAATCATCTATTTAAGAGAAGCTTTGAGAGGATCCTTTTGGTAGAGGGTCATGAGAAAATACCATGATCCTGAGAAAGCCAGGTGCCCATCTGGTCCCATATGGAAGGCTCATGTATCTTGGTTTGAAAGTCCCACCAGAGCCCTCAGCTAAGATTTCTCTACAGCTCAGTTCTCTGGGTAATTTGCAACCCTGCCGTTTTCCTCTACCTCAGAGTTCCAAGTTCCTTCCCAGATACAACCCACACAGACCTGGGCTGGAGGCCTTTGATACCAAATCTGAGCCATCAGTACCTTCTACGTCCCTGTGGGATCTGTGCTCCTCAGAAGTGCTCCTGTCTTTCTTGTTCCCTTCTCTCAAAGCAGAGCATGCCCCAGTCAAAGGTTTGCCTCTGATATCTTCCTTGTCCCCCTCGTTTTTGTCATTCCTCGCCATCCTGGCCCAGGAGCATACAGAACCTTTGAGCAATGCATTCACACCCACCCAGAAGTCAAGCATAATGAGGAGAGAAGATCTAGCTCTCTCAGGCACAAACACCCAGATATTTTGTGATAGAAGGAAAATGTGCCAAAATGAAAAGGGGCAAAAACACAGAGGGGTGTTAGACCTTATCACCCGTGCAGAAATCTCTTCCCTTATCAAGATTTAATTTCAAGGGAAACTGGGGTCACTCTATGCAAGTTTTATCCACTGAGTAGGAGAAACTGGAACAAAAGTCCTACCCAAGAGGGCCTCAGAATCCTGATGGAATTTCAGAACCACCCAAAAAAGCAGACAAGGGACTTATCTCTTGCCAGCATATCTCCTTCAACTCACTTTTGGGTTCAAGTAGGGTTGAAGAAGGAGTCTTATTTAGCTCTGGAAATATACTGTCAGATCTAGGCTGAGGTTTTCTTGGGAGGTGGGAAGTATAGGGGGTGGTAACAGTAGGATTTCTAAAGGCAAAATGCAGAACCAGAGCTATCCAAGGAATCTGGAGGCTGCAAGCAGTTTCGCCCACATCAGCCAGCATTAAAGATTGGCAATGTGGTGGGTGGGGGAGAGCTGGGAGAGAGGAGGAGGAGAGCTCCAGGCCCGTGCTGGACAGTCTAGATGGAAGCCAGACTCCCCATTGTTCTCCACCTTCCTCCCGTCTCTGCTGTCATGCTTAAGAGTTTTCCCTGGGCCCTTCACAGAGAAGACTCCAAGCAGCCAGCATCGCCCCTCTCCCCCTCCCTGTCTCTCCCTCCCTGCCACCTTCATTTTGCTCTTGCTTTCAGAGTCATGCTGGCAGCAATGTGCGAGTCTAGCCAGAGCACAGGAGTCAGTAAACCCTGAAGGAACAAAGGCTCCGGCTCTTTGCCTAATCCATGTCTGGCTCCGTGCAGAAAGCTACACAACAATGAAGTCGTCCTGCATTGATCTGCCCGCTCCTGAGCTTTCCCGCGGCATCCAACCCTCCCTTGCTGCCTCACCATTGTATCTGAGATGCTTGATCCTTTGCTCATGCCTGGTCTTGACCTGAGGGAACTGGGACGAGCCAGGGGATGTGTCACAGCCCAGTGCTGTGCTGCGGTCACACCTGTGGCTGGGGAGGTGGAGGTGAGGATGTGGCTGCTGGGAGCTTGGCTGCAGAAAGGGATTCCCGCACAAAAGAAGAGACAGAGGTGGCTAGAGGTCAGATTCTTGACTTCCAAATTGAGCCTGATTTGTGTTTGGTCTTTTTAGGGTGAGCATTGCATGGCTGAGCTTGGACATATCAGGAGGTCTTTGAGGTGCGTTGAAGAAAGGTTAAGTGACAGTGGGTAGTCAGACAAGGCCCTTTCTTCTACTACCTTCCTGTCTGAAGCTGCTCACCCTTGCCCAGACCTGGGCAGCCTAACCTGATATCCTAAGGATCAGGTTGGTCTCATCCTTTCTTCTACCACCTTCCTATCTGAAGCTTCTCACCCTTGCCCAGACCTGGGCAGCCTAACTGCTATCCTAAGGATCAGGTTGGTCTCATCCAACTGTATGATGAGTCCTCCCCAATATCAAAAAGGCCATCATTGCTTGGGAATCTCACCAACTGTAAGACATGTGATTAATCTCAGATCTAAGCCCAACCATGCTTTCATACACCCCCAAGTCACTAAATGCTACAATGAGAGGAAAGAACGTTGCAGATGTTCTTTTCCAGTCTTTAAAATCACCCTGTCCCAAAAGTTCCAGAAGGAAGTCAGGGATGGTGCTCATCCCTGAAGACCCCTGAAAGACTTCTCTGTCTTAGGAGTGGAGTGGGGTTGGAGGGGGGAGCACCTAGGTGGTGTTTCACAATCATAGCCTTCCAGGAGCAGAAGATGTGCTACTTTAGGGGGCTGCAGAGTGGCCAAAAGCATTTTGAGGTGTCAGGCAGTCCCCCTGTCAGTCCTGGTTCTGCCAGTTTCAAGCTGTGGAAACCTGAGCTAGTTATTCAATCTTTCTGAGCTTCAGCTTCCTTGTGGGTAAAATCTGACTGGTTCTGAGTAAGTGCTTCATAAGTTACATAGAATTATTACTATTAATGCCCCACAGTAAACCCATTCTTGGGAGGTTGGCAACCAGTTCCAGGACCTCATCATGTAATGCTAGTAAAAAAGTCCAGCCTCTCCAGGGCATGTCCCTGGAATGTGTTAGATCGAATTTCACCTTGTTTCTACAAGATCTTATTGGTACAGTTGAGTTTCTCATTCTCTGAGCTTCAGAACCAGCACCTGTCAACCAAGTCTCTAGAATGAAGATCCAGGGAGCGCCTGGCAAGCACCCTGGGTTCGTGAACTGAGTCAGCTGTCAATCTGTGCAGCAAAATCCCGCAGGATCAAAATGTAAGCTTAAGGTCTGACAAAGCTACTGTGAAATCCTGTTGGTGACATTCGAATGCAGGAGGTCAGGGAGCTGCAGGACTGGCTGGTTCCCTGAGCCACCCTAAGCTGAGGCCAGTCCAAACTGGCATCTTTCTGGGCTGAGTTCAGCTCTCCGCATCTGCCCTATACCAGCTCTGACTTCCCTAGAGGCACCAACCCTGGGGTAAATGCCATGAGACTTCAACACCTAGCAGTAAAACATGGAAAACGGAGGCCTAGACTCCAATCGCAGCTGGTTCCTCATTCTGCCCAGCAACCTTTCCATAGATCCCCATAGTCGTCCATAGTCTCTTCCCCGTCAATTCAGATGTTCCAACTCTCCTTGGGTCTTCTCACTAGCAGCACAAGGCCTTGCCTCATTCTTTATAGGAAAAATGGAAGCCACCAGACAAGAACTCCCTCACTTCCTTGCCCTATCACCTTGAAAAGACATTCCACATCCTTTCCTCTTTTTGCCTCCTGCTCTATGGGAAGAGCACTCCCTCCATGAGGCCAATGCTATCCCTTCCTCCTGAGCTGTGGATACTTTTCCTTCCCATATTCTCAGGGGCCATCTTTATCTATTATCTCTTCTCCCATACACTGATAGGCTCCAAGCATCAGAAAAAAAGAAAGCTCAAATCTCTCCTATATTAAAAATGAAAGTTCTCCCTCGAACCAGTGCATGTCCTCATGGTCCCCAGGACAGCCTCAACCCTTCAGGCATCCCTGTTCCAACTCTTTCTCCTTGGAACCCTCAAGAAGAGATAAATGCCGAGCTTGGTCTACCCCTCACCCAGGCCACTCTAGAGAGCAGGAGCTTCCATTTGGCATAAGGGGGTCTCAAACCAAACTAGACTTAAATAGAAGATAAAGCAACTGAGGGTATATAGAAAAGCACCAACCTAGCCTGATCAACTTCCTGTCAGACTGGAACGTGAGCTCTTCCACATTACTTTACTTGTCTCATCTCTACTGCCTCAATGACTGAGCTCCATCAGGGATTACTGGGGCCCAGTGAAGCATTCAGATCCACCCAGGAGCCTTTTCCCGGCCCGCATTCTCCACTCTTGCTCCATCTCTCCTGCATACAGGGCCTCACGGTGTCCTCTCCTCCTGAAAGGAAGAGGGCAAGTTACAGGGAGCATTTCAACTCTTCTAGCTGTGTCACTGCCAGGGTCCAAGGGTGCACAGATGTGCCAGTTCATCTAAGCATTTTACTCTTTGGCCTCTCCCTCCTGGCAGCCCACATGAAACTTGCCATGAGAGTGTGGCTCACCTGAGTGTGTGCATGAAAGGGAGTGTGTCTCTGAATGACAAGTGTGTTGACCTGTACGCCCAAAGCCCCGTCTTTCCTTGGGCAAGGTCACTTTCCCAACATCCACAGGGAACATACAAAACCACTCCATCCTAGGGACAGCCCCACTGGCTTTGCTGGTGCACCAAAGATAAAGGATCCCCAACCCCACTCTCAGACCCCCATATATCAGCTCTCAAGAGAAGATTTCTGTGAGCCTTGGCTGCTCAGACAACAGAACATTCCCCAGCTACCAAAGGAGTGAGGGTCTCAGTGGCCTGAGTAGTGTCTGTAGAAGTCAGATTTGAATCTTGCTTTCACCTCTCACACTGTGTGACCCTGGATGAACCATTCAACCTCTCTGAGCCTCTAATTCTTTCTCAATACGATGAAAAAGCACTTTACTGTATGAGCCTAAGCTATCTGGAAGACTCTCAATGAAAGCAACCAATGGAACAGATTGTGAACACCTTTGTAAACAAAGAACTTAACTAAGAAACTTCTTTAAAAGAGTAACAGGAAAACAGGAAAAAATGCAGGTAACCTGGAATTTCTGTATTTTGAATGTTTTTGCAAAATTTCCAAATAAGAGGTCTGATTCAGTCATTTCATTAGAAAATAAAGTGTTTATTAAGAAACTATACACTGAACACTCCTATAAGTCTCTGTGGAAACACAACGCCCCATTGTCATAGCACAAGGTGAGGAAAATGGCAGAATAAAAGATGCTGGGATGGATGGAGCCTGGGAGGCTGGAAATGAGGTAATGATTTACAATAATTAAAAAACATCATCCTCAAGCTTACTCCTTAAAGCCACACTTGGGAGGAGGCCCTGGACCCAAAGCATCAGCAGGGCACAATGGGGAACAGCCTGACATGGAGCAATGGGGAGCAGGATGAGGAGAGCTGGAGGGGGCGAGATAAACACACACCTGGAGCCCTGGAGAGAACCTGAACTCCCAGGTGATACTCTGGAGGCTGCCCCAGATACTGGGCAAGAACTTGGAAAGCCTCATGTTTTTAAACCCCATGGAGGCATTTGCAGAATCGGGCTGGGATCCTGACACGAAGAACCACCATCCACAGGACCCAAGAAGTAAAACCCTTAAGTGGGAATCCAAACTCCCAGTTAAATTTGCCAAAGGCATAGACTCTATTCTCTACTAGTGTGCAACACCACCCCAAAACAACGGTGGGTTAAAACAACCACCTTTTTCCCCCACAAGCCCCCCACAGGATGCTCCCAGTTTCATGCTCTCCACCATTAGGTGGGCAGCCTATGCTGACTTCATACAATGGAGGCCCCATGGGCCAGTGGAGCTGGGAGCCAGAAGTCTACTCCACCAATGAGTCAGCAAATACGGGAGAGTTTCAGGCCCTACAAATGTGCCTTTCCTACTGAAGAAGGGAAAGTCACCCCCTTCCCTCTCCTCAGTGGATCAAGTTGAAAATGGGGGAAGCGAGCCCCCTCTTTGGGAGAGGGTGGCCATGGAGTAAGGCATGAGTCAAAGCAAGCAAAGTAAACACACATATTGACCAGAGAACAGGAGGACACTTCCATTGGTGCCATGAGAGGGGCTGGAGGAGGCCAAGTTTTACTTCTCTTCCCCTTCAGTTCATCTTGACCTTGAAATGCTGATTCCATTGGGTTCCAAAAGTTCTCAGAGTCAAGAATAAGTGGAAGTAGGGGAAGAGAGCCAATCCCGGGATCATGGGCTGGCAGGAAGGGCCTTTGTCCCTGATTCCCTTGGTCCCTTGTGGTCCTAGTAGGATGGCCAGTTCATGGGTAAAACCTCCTGCAGCCAAAGCTTGTCGGAACTGCAGATCTAAGGGCCCAGGAAGAGCCTGGAGAAACTCTCCTCTGCAAGGAGTTTTCTAATGTCACACTCATTGTGAGCCGTTCCAGAGAGAAGAGGAAGTAGGGGGCAAGTATGTCCCAAAAAAGGATGATTTTTCCACCGAAAATAAAAATAAAAATGTAAAGTGATTGGTTTCCATTCTTTCCTCTGAGACCTAACTTGGTGCCAATACTTGAGCCTGGCTCCCCCTCCTCTTACCGCGCCGTCTCCACCTCTGCTTAGGTGCTCTCTGTGACTCTTCCCCACTGGAGGTTGCAGGGCGACGAGGTCACTAAGAGGACAGCATGGTATCCTGGGAGAGCCAGGGAGACCCCACGCTTCCAAGCAGGGAAAGTGAGGCTGGAGCACGGCTGGACTTCATCAGGCTTTCTTGTGATGGTTAGGTTGTTTTTGTAAAGCAAGAGAATGGCTAGTGTATTTAAAAGATGCTCCTGGTGCACAGGTTTTTAATTCTCTTTATTGGCTCTAAAGATAGTGGCAGGAGCTGCCTCGTAGGCCGGGAAAAAAGGAGCACAGTGATGATTGGAGGGAAGGGGCAACCCTGCCAGTGGTGGATGGGGGAAAACACCCATCTGGTGGTGTTAAAGGGTGCCGGGGCACTGGTGGCTCATGCAGTTTCTACTTAGCATCCCTGGATCCAAAGAGAACAATGCCTAGAGCTTCCAACCTCTCAGAGGGCCCAGCCTACCAAGGTGACATCAAAACAAGGAGGCTTAAAAGGAGTTTTTAAAAGCCATGACGTCCTTTGCTGAAATAAACATTGACATCCTCAACATAGATGCCATGGTTAAGAGGCTTGGAATGTCCGGGAAGGCTTATTGGATTCAACATAATTTCTCTGAAACCTATAAAAAACAAAAAGAAAAAAAAACAGAAAAAAGCAAAATAAAGTAAAAACCAAAACCCCCAAAGAAGATCAAAACTAGGAGGGGAAATAGAGAGGGAGCTTGAAAGGGGAAGAACTGTCAGCAAAAGGGAAGGATAGGAGGAGGGGATTAACTTAAAACCCTGCATGGTCAGAGAAACTGGAAACACTCCATTTTGCTGCAGCCTCCACTGAACTGAGGAAGGGAAGGGAGCAAAACCTTTGGGGGCTTGGCCTTGGATTGTCATGGAAGAGGAGGAGAGGTCTCATCTAAGTGGGTCTCAGTCTATAAGCATCTTTCTGAAAGGAGGAGACCCTGACGATGAGCTGAGGGGTGTGTCGGAGAAGGGGTATGCACTGTAGGGTCACTTAGGGGCTAAGGGATGGGAGGAGAAGGCTATGCTTTCCCAGAACTGACACTCTTTAAGGATACCAGAGGGGCATTTCTAATTCTAGGAGCTAAAATTACACAGACCACTTCTGACCACACCAGGAGGTGGGGGTGCTATACTCCCAAGCCTACAAGCTCTTTCTCATTGACCTTTTCGCCTCACACCACAGGTCTGTGGAAGGTTTAGAGAGTAACGGCTGATCTCTGAGCCTTGCCATCTTTCCAAATCTTACAGGGGAGGAAAATACCCTGGAGGAGTAACACTGGTGGCCCCGAGGCCACGTGCTGCCTCGAGCAAGGAGGACTTCCATGACAGCTCATTTCCTTTCTGGCCATACAGCCATGGACTGAGTTAGGATATCCTGAAAAGTGGGAGTTCCTAATAAAATTTCCAGAAAGATGTTGTTCAATCAACTACAGATTTTAAAAGTGTGTGTAAAGAGTGTGTGTGTGCATTTGCATGTGTGTGTGTTTGCATGTGTACATGTGTTTCCATGTGTGTATCTGTTTGCATGTGTGTTTGCATGTGTATTTGTGTGTTTGTGTGCATCTGTATGTTTGTGTTTGCATGTGTACACCTGTGTGTTTTCATGTGGATGTGTGTATGTGTTTCCATGTGTGTTTGCATGTATGTGCGAATATATGTGTGTGTACACATATGTGTGTGTTTGAATGTGTATGTGTGTGTGAATATGTGCACAGAGTAAGCCTATCTTTTTATGGAAGCTATGCTCAGGAATGTAGAGGTCATAAGGGGCCTCTGGACATTGGGAATATGATGGGAAAAACTTGAAACAAAATTTGATTGCATTGAGACTTTCCTGTCCTCCTGCCCAGGACATGCTATGGACAAAACAGTATTGAGTCATTTGGGGTGCTGGGACCCCTTCCTCTGAAGGAGGTGGGGTCAGATTTGTGAAGATAGAGGAAACCTTCCTTGCCTATGACATCATGTTTGGAGGGAGGCTGTTTCAAGGTGAGACATTTCTGAGACAGCATCCCTGCCCTGACCCCAGATAAAGGTTATCTGGGGTATGAAGGAAAAGGGAAGGAAGGCCATTGGTCTGGGTAGCCTGCTGAGAAAGTTTGTGACACCACTGTCTCTTTCCAGGCCATGGTCCTCTCCTGCTTCTCCCATAGCCCTTACCTAGGCCCTATGAAGCTTCCTCCCCTGGAAGACACTCCTTTAATTTAAGGGATTTTTTTAGTACCAAATCCCGTGCTGGGCACCTAGTCGTACCTCAGTCCACGAAATATATGGAGGCTTGATGAGTCTTAAGGTCTTAAGAACCAAAATTGGTTAGGGGAGGGATCTTTACTGCATACAAAGACGTCAAAGGAGGTAACTCACCATGTGACCTTGGGTAAGACACTTCCCCACTCTGGACCTCAGGTTCCTCATATATATAGTGAGTTGATGGGACTAGATGATCTCTATTGTCCTTCAAGTTTAATATCCCATGATTGTCTATGTTTGAAAAGACCCCTGGCAGAAGAGGCAGACATGGGGGAATTAATGGTCAGTATTAAACCCCAAGTGCAAAAAACATGGGAAAGTATTTTTCTTAAGTGCACAATGCCAGAAACAGAAATCCAGGTTTCTCAGCTCCTGTACCCACTCTGCTGTGCCTGTAGTGGCAGCTGGTTTATTTTACGCATAAAATCTAGATCCTAAGAATCTCACCCTGGCATTATAGAAATGGCACAAGTTAGAGTCAGAGAAGAAAGATTCACCATCACCATGAACTCTGTCCTGCACTTTTCCTAACATATTTGCCCCCCATTTTCCTTCTTGGACCAGAATGTCTCAAAATGGTGCCCATCATTGCCATTCAGAGTGTCATTCCTGGGCCTGGATGGATGTTTCTTCTGACTTGGGAGATAATCCTGGACCCAAGACCCTCTTTCTGGCTTCTAATATCCCATCAAAAAAATTCAGCTAATTTTCAAGAGGAAAGCAATGTGACAAGGCGGGGATGATGAGGAGATGAGAGGAGGTGGTGGTGTTTGGTTCCTTAAAATCTTCCTTGCCATTGTTAGGGCATAAACCATTGGAAAAACAAAAGCTGTTAGCTCACTGAAGACCTGAAGACTACAACTTCTATAAAGAGATATCATTGTAGCTTCTGAGGATGAAATCTCCTTTGGAGACCATGCAGCATTTGTGGGCCCTGGAAAGATCCGTGTCGGATCCATTAAAGACCAGGGCCAAGCCCGCCTAAGTCTCTGCCAATGTCCCCGAAGCTGCCTTCGTGAACATGAGCCCTTTCCCATATGAGCCGGGATCTGAAGTTTGTTTTCTCTGGAACTCTTTCCCAGGTGGAGTCTTTCCAAGATTCTAAAAGCTGAAGCCTGATAGCATAAGAGGCACTGCTCCAAAATCCTCCATTCCTCTCCCTCTGTCTCAGAACAACCCCTGAGCAGAAAGCAAAAGGCATTTACTGGGGGAAGAGCAGGGGAGCCCAGAACCACAGTGGACACTGGTAAAGGGGTAAATGGTGAAGAAAAGGCTGAAGAGGGGCAAATCAAAGGCATTTCCAAAGAAGGCCTTACCCACCAGGGGCCCACAGACCCCGCTACATCTGACCTTTTCCTCTGTCTGTCAACAGCTTTCCCCAAAACATTCAGCACAAAGGTACCTGTAGGCTCTCTGTAATTCAGAACAGAGCTGGGTCTTCAGGGATCTTCTAAGAATACTTTCCCTGAGAAGCAAGCCAGAGGCTCTGGGATCTTTTTGGGAAAGGGAGGGACACTGTAAATGGAGCTTAGGGGAGAAGGGGCATTGAGCACCCATACGATTGGATGAGAGGTTCTGGAGCCAATCCTATTGAGTCAAGAGCTGGTTGAATCTCTAAAGGCAAGTCCTTTATATTGACTGCAGCAAGGAAAGGTCAGTTCCCATGGTTTTGCCACATAAAAAGACATTCAAATCTGTTTTTCTGAGATTCTTGCAGATTCTAATTCTCTCTCCCTTGCTGGGGTTTCACCCCTGTGCTCTGGCCTTGGGATTCTGGAGCTACCAGCCCAGCACCTTCCAGGGAGAAGGTATTCCCTGCATCTTCTGCCTACACTCTTTCCACCTGACTGTGGATTCTCACAGACCTCTCCTTCTCCTTCTGTCTCTGCTTCTTCCTTTTGTTATCTGAGATGAGACTATTACCTAACTGCATAAAGTAGTTTAGGTTATGGTTTAGACAACAGTCCCAATACCAAATGCAGTTCTATAGAATTATTTTCAAACATCCCCTCTTCAAATGTATTCATTCATCATCTTCAAGTTGCTACATCACAGTAACCCTTAGCACTGACATAGCACTGGCTGTGGAAAAAAGCATTTTGTACCCTAGCATGGGCTGAAATACACAGGAGTGCTGGCGCTGGGGCCCTGGGTGGTAGACTAACAGGGAGCCAGAAGGCAATGCAGTGGGAAGGGCATCCCACCCCAGTCAGGGTGCCACACTTTCCACAACTTTCCCACCTTTCCCCCAAGAGGTAAGAAGAGGTGAGATGTTTTTCAACCCCATTGCAGGTAGGCATGGAATGGAGCAGGGAGCCCCGAGCAATACCCAACTATGCCAATCGTACCATCAGACATGTTGCTGATAGCCCTGGAATCCATAGATCTATATAAGGGAGTGCCAGTGACAGGTATCACCTACAGTTAGTTCTTTATACCTCAACATCCCCAAAAGGTGGATAGTATTAACTCCACTTTACAAGGGAGAAAACTGTGCCTTTATAATATGGAAAAACAGCCCCAAGTTCACTTTGTGGCAAAGTCTAAATTTGAATCCAGCTCTTCATACCTCCAAAGTCCTTGCAACTAACCACTTTGCAATACGGATCTCATTTGTGGAAAACCAATATCCAGGAAGGGGGTGAAATGGAGGTCAAGATAGTGATGGTAAGGACGTTCTCTTGGGGGAACAGGGCTCTCACTCTGGCCACTTCAACAAGTTCTAAACAGAGGGCAGGGCTTTCTTACCTTATTAACAGCTTCCTTAGTTAGGAAGGTAAGCAGCACCATACCCTGTCATTCCCTCCCCTGGCCAACCCTGGTTTAATTCTATCCCTGGTGGCTTCACCCCCACCCTCACAATGACACTTCGCATGCACTGGGACCTTCCAGATAAGGAAACCCAAACTCTGTCTGGTCACGGACCCCTTCATTTTGATGATGTTTCAGGGAGTTCAGCCTAGAGAGGATGAAAAATGACCACATGAACGTGAGGTAGTAATGAGTATGGAGAGATGGATAATTAAAATATAGTCATACCCTAACCAAGGGTTGTGGAATATCTGAGAATACCCTTGGTAAGCCAAGCATGGTACCCAGTGGAACTCTTTCCTGAGCACCCACCCCAGGCCACTGTGTAAACAAGCATGGACAGAAACGAGTGAATCTTGGTGAAGAAAGGATTCCTCATAGACACATGTCTCTTGCTTCTTTTCTTGCCTGTATGGTGGCCCTTCTAAGGTTGTGGGAAGGTGATCATCAAAGCATTCTAATGGTGCCTGGGCTATGGTTATGATTGATTTGTTCTGTATCTTTTCCTTGGGTGTAGTTATCGCTTTTTTGAGTCTAAGTTCTTTCTTCTCATGCCATCGGATTCAATAAAAGGATGGCGGCACTGGCCGAGGTGAGTGAGCCCCAAACGCCTAGGCTTGCTGGCCACAGTCTATGCTGCTTTAAACTTTCAGGTTATTTCTTTTATTACTCTGAGATTGCAAACCTAACCCACAGGCCGTATATGGCCTTATGATGTGCCTTTTATTTTATTTTTTAACACAAATGGTCTTTTTAAAAATTTGTTGCTTAGTTGCCAGCATTTAAAACTTGGGAGATCTCACATTTAAAATATCCCCATTTCTAGCTTCCCTTGAAAGTCCGAGAGTTCTGGCAACCCTGGGCCAGAATTACTGCACAGTGATAACCCACTGCGGTAGCCACTCAGTTTATACGAGGTGTGTGAGTGTGTGTTCTCCAGCTTGCCATATTCTCCACCAATTCCTATTATCCTTCACCCCTGCACTTATTTACAGTACCTACATGGCTTGTCTTTGCATTTGAGATTCAAACTGTACAATAAACATTATGTTTATTGTACTAGGTTATAGGCTGTGCATTAAGACCAGGAAATCCCATCTCTGCAAGCCTTGTTGAATGCCCCTAAAATACCAAACTTATGCTCCCTCTGGTCATGGCTAACAATGATAAAGAAGTGGCTGGAAACCTACAGCAGAGGGACAAACCTATCTCAGAAGGGGGAGACAGCTCAGAAACTGAACTATGTGAGTAAGGGAAGCAAGCATGGTCAGAAATCAGGTTCCCAACAGGACACCATGCTGAAGCATAATGCTGGAAAAAGCTACTGCTGGGAGAGAAGGTGGCACTCATGTCATCCACTGGCTGTGTCTTCCGCATTGCCTGACATGTATAAGGCACACGACAAAAGGTTGTTGAATGCCAACAAGCAGGACTTTTTAATATAGCTGTACATTTCATGGGGGAATAACTGGACCCAAAGTGTTCCTACATCCCTATAATAACAAACACATTTCAAAGGGTTCTATACAATATTGAAAGGTACTTAGAACCAAAATGTCCCTGTTGTATACTGTGTAGCTAAGAGTACTGAACTGAGACCCCCAACTTCAGTATGGGCCGCCTCTTCCTATAAAGTCACCTCAATGCTGCTGGGAAAATGAGTGACGAGATTGTCCTGGCCCGCATGCCACGGTTGCCAAGTCTGGTTCCAGCTGTGTGCAGATGCTCAGAGGGAGGGGGCTGAGGCTGAATGTACCCCGACTACAATTTAGCTCATGGCGTCATGCCCACAGGAAGTCACAGGGGGAGGACATCCATGCCTGGCTGAGATAAAGGGGCATGGACCACTGAGATTCTCAGACAAAAGCAAAAGACTCGCTCCTGAAGGGATCTTGAAGGCTCTCACAGCTTGTCCCTGATGAGTATTTCAAGGCTCTAACTCAAAAAAAGGGGGGAGGTGTGCTGGGGGGCCACCCACCACTTGGAATCACTAAGACTATTCCAATGATAAGCTGATCTTGGCTTAAAGGAGTGAAATGTTAGTCCCCAGAGAAAGTGAAAATCCTTCCACTCCATAACATGGGTGAAGTGACCTCTTAGAATCATAATACTTCATAAGCCATGGAGCAATACTAGTCATATGGAAAAAAAATTTCTTTACCATTCTCAGAATTCACTAAATAAGGAACAATTTGTAATAGCTGAGCATCTTCTTTTCTTGCTTAACTGAGAGTAGAGAGAATCTCGGGTATTAATAATCTATCTTCATTGCCTTCCTTGTACTTCAAAATATCTGTCTTTGTATTCAGTATATTTTTTCCTGAGTCTTTTGACTCTTTTCAAATGTTTGAAATATCTAAAATATCAGAAAAGTGTAGAAACTCTGTGCCTACCTCCAGCATTAACAATTTATAATATTTTGATATCTTCTTCTCAAATTTCTAAACAAATAATCCATTACTGCAATGGCTGAGAACCCATGTGAGTTCACATATAACCCTGTTTCTCCTCTACCCCATCACCAGAAGTAACCACTGCTCTGAAATAGCTGATTATCCTTTTCAGGAATCTTGAAATAATTTTGCTGCATATGCATATATCCATAACCAAATTATAGTTTTGTTCTGTGTAAGTTTAAGCTTTTAAAAAGTGGGTATTTTCTAGATTTATCCATGTTGATACATGTAGCTCCCGTTCATTAATTTTAGCTAACGAAGTCCATGATGTGAATATGCTACAAATTATCTGCCTATTCTGCCAACTGACACTTGTTTCTATCTTTTGATTATTCCAAAAAAAGTTGCGATCAATATTATTACACACATATCTGTATGCACATGTGGGAGAATTTCTCCAGAGCAGTAGTTGGCAAACTTATCCTATAAAGGACCAGATAGAAAATATTTTAGGCTTTGCAAACCATGCAGTCTCTGCTGCTACCACTAAACTCTGCCAGTATAGTCTGAAGGCAGCCACAGACAACACATAAACAAATGAGAGTGTTCCAGTAAAATTTCATTTGTAAAAATAGGCAAGAGCCAGATTTGGCCCTTGGCCAATGAGTGATAGTTTGCTGACCTCTACTCTAGAGCTTTTTTACTCAAAGTGCAGGCAAGTGGACAAGCAGCATCAGCATCAGCTGGTAGTTGGGTAAAAATGAAGATGCTCAGACCCCGCTGAATCAACATCTGTGGTTTAATAAGCTCCTCAGGTGATTTCTACGCACAAAAACATTTGAGAAGCACATCTTTGGAAGAGATCCCTAAATTTAGTGTAATTGAATCCTTAACATAATTCTATTGCTAAATGTTTACCCAAAGTATTACCAACTCATATTTCTATAATCACTAAATGGATGAACTTCCTACCCCATCTTCCCATATCAGATATTTTTTCTAACAAACTGATGGGTGGAAGATGTTATCTCCTTGTAGTTTTAAGATTCATTTCCCTAATTACTACTGAGGTTGTACATCATCTCAATAAGGGTTTCCCCAATTAAGGAACTGTGAACTGCCTATTTGTATCCTTTCCTCATTTTCTTGTGTGTGTCTTTCTCTCTCTATCTATATATCTAGACATAGATATATATAGATAGATAGATGTGTGTGTGTGTGTGTGTGTGTAGTTACTCTTTTCTTGATTTGTGGGAGTTTGTTATTTATTCTCTATGCAAATTCTTTGTTATATATATATGCATTGAAATGATGTCATCTCAAGATACTGTTTGTCTTTTAACTTTGTATACAGTACTCATAGATTTTTTTTTAAATTAATGTATTCAAATGTATTCACCTTTCCCTTTATGTTACTTAAATCTGTATGTTAAGAGATATTTTCCTCCTCAATGTCAGGATATTACCTTTTCCTTTAAAAGTACTACGTTTAGGGCTGGACGTGGCCGAGATCGTGACACTGCACTCCAGCCTGGGTGACACAGTGAGAATCTGTCTCAAAATAATAATAATAATAATAATAAATATAAGATAAAAGTACTACGTTTAATAAATCTCCCTTACAGAAGAATTACGAATACTTTACGCAGAGACTCCTCACTCAAGGACGTAGAGTTTCACTTCCCCCCACCCCTTGAGTGTACACTGTTATTGGCTTACTTCCAAAGTATACGGAAAGAGGGAGAATGTAGTTTTGCAGTGGAGAAAACTGACAAACACCATCTCAGCCAGGTAATGAGGGTTAGCATCATCAGTGTTAAGTCATGTGATAAGCATGCACTCTTTAAGTGAAGTGATGAGAATGGCCTTTCACCTCTGTGGTCTTCCTTCCCAATATCCCAACTGACAGCCAAAATTGAGAGATATTCTACATGAAACCTGACCATCAAGGTAATCAAGGACAAGGAAAGTCTAAGAAACTGTCAGAGATCATAGAAGGCTAAGAAGACATGATAACTAAATGTAAAGTGGTGTTCTGGATGTGGTCCAGGAATGGAGAAAGGACATTTGGGGGAAACTGATGAAATCAGAGTATAGTATTGAACTTAATTAAGAATAATGTACCTACACTCATTTCTTACTTGTGACAAATGTATCATGGTGATATAGAATGATTACAATAGGAGAAACTGGATGAGAGATATAAGGGAATGCTCGGTACCACTGTTATAACTTCTATATGTCTAAAGCTATTTTAAAATAAAAAGCTGATTTAAAATAGAAAGTTATACTTTAAATTTTCATTCAGAATTTATAATTTAATGGTGTTTAGGGAAGACGTTGATTTTTGTTTATTGATCCTATATTAGCAAATTTGCTGGACTCCCTAATTAGTTCTAATGATTATTTTATGAATACCCTTTGATGTTCTATGTAGGGTGATCAGAATCTTCACAATAAGGATAATCTGTCTTTCCAATTCTTTTATTTCTTTTATCTTATTGAAGTGGCTAGCATTACAAGAATATTACTGAATAAAAGTCATACATAATAACAAACATGCTTATCATTATATTTTTTTCATGTGTTTCATACTTTTTTTTATTTTTATTTTTTTTAGAGAGGGTCTGGCTCTGTCACCCAGGCTGGGGTGCAGTGGTGCAATCTTGGCTCACTGCAACTTTCACCTCCTGGGTCCAACAGTGGAGAAATAGGAATACTTTTACACTGTTGGTGGGACTATAAACTAGTTCAACCATTGTGGAAGACAGTGTGGCAATTCCTCAAGGATCTAGAACTAGAGATACCATTTGATCCAGCCATCCCATTACTGGGTATATACCCAAAGGATTATAAATCATGCTGCTATAAAGACACATGCACACGTATGTTTATTGTGTTACTATTCACAATAGTGAAGACTTGGAACCAACCCAAATGTCCATCAATGATAGACTGGATTAAGAAAATGCAGCACATATACACCATGGAATACTAAGCAGCCATAAAAAATGATGTGTTCATTTCCTTTGCAGGGACATGGATGAAGCTGGAAACCATCATTCTCAGCAAACTATCGCAAGGACAAAAAACCAAACACCACATGTTCTCACTCATAGGTGGGAATCGAACAATGAGAACACTTGGACACAGGAAGGGGAACATCACACACTGGGGCCTGTTGTGGAGTTGGGGGAGGGGGAGGAATAGCATTAGGAGATATACCTAATGTAAATGACGAGTTAATGGGTGCAGCACACCAACATGGCACATGTATACATATGTAACAAACCTGCACGTTGTGCACATGTACCCTAGAACTTAAAGTATAAAAAAAAAGTCCAAGAAAATAAATCATATAGATCTAGTGCTGACACGAAAAAAAAAAAGAGATTCTCATGCCTCAGCCACTTAAGTAGCTGGGATTACAGGTGCACACTACCACACTTGGCTAATTTTTGTATTTTTAGTAGAGATGTGGTTTCACCATGTTGGCCAGACTGGTCTATAACTCCTGACCTCAAGGGATGCGCCCACCTCAGCCTCCCAAAGCGCTGGGATTACAGGTGTGAGCCATCATGCCTGGGCTTGTTTCAAGATTTTTCACTTTAATTCATTTTGAGTGAAAATAATTTTTTCTGGTTTTCTTTGTTTTTTCCCTTTTCCTTTTCTTCTCACTCATATTGTCTAATTTGTTGCTGCTGTTGTTGTTACCTCCATCTAGCTTCCTGGGACTTCAATTATAAACCAAATCCTATAATAATGACTTGGAGTCCTCCTACAAGGGTAATACTGAGGGTAGAGTACAACAGTCTTCAGCTAGTTGAGCGGCTTAAGTCAGTTCATGGTCTCAAAGCTACAACTTTATCGTCTCTCTCCCACTTCCTCAGGCTCACAGGTTCCTATTAGGAACCCAGATAGGGGTCAGCCACATTATCTTTTCAGACTCTTTTCTTCACTATCCCCACCCCAAGACTTGAAGCAGTGAGTCTAGCTCTGATCCTCTGACAATGTGGAGCACATACCGTTCTGCAGATACCCTCCAGAGCTAAATTCCTGCCCTGACTTTTTGATTCTAGACTTGGAACCCAGCGTAACAATGAATGTAACTCTGCACATCACTTTTTATTTCTGTACCATTTCTTGTTCACAGATTATTTATCTTGTTTTGGGGCCCAGCCATGTCTTTTTATAATTTTTGTCATTGTTACATATTTGGAGCAGAGGAGGAAACTAAAGCACAAACTTATGGTACCATCCTGACCAGAGCCCAATTATTTGCCTTTCTATATTGGAGAAAAATTTATTTTGTTTCCAAAACTAACCCTTTAACTGATACCTTCAATATTATCTCCAACTTCCTTCTTCAATTATTTCCTGTCTCTTCAACATCTTCTGCCTTTGCTGTTATATTCCCTTTTGTACAGAAATCTATATATGTTTATCTCTATCTTTGGGTATGTGCACACATACCAAACAAATGTATGCCCACACTCTCAGTCTCTTACCTAGTAAATGATGGAGCAATGTCCCCCACTTTACCATACCATTTGTTTTCATCCCATTTTCTTAGTTCCTTTGGATACCAACAATTTGCATAACTTAATTCCAACCCTAACCTCCACTGTTTTGCAGATCATTCATGATTACATTCCCATAATCCAAGTTCTAATCCTTTTACAAAACTGACCTCTTGAAGGTCACCAATGGTTACCCCATGACTAGATTTTCTCCACTCTTTGATCATTTTACCTTGTTCATTCCACAGAATGTGGCACCTTGACCATCCCACACCCCCCATGACACCTAGAGTACTGTACCATCCTCATCATTTTCCTACCTTTCTGCTCCCTTTCTTTCTGTTGGCTTCTCTTCCTTCACTGGTCCCTATGCTAGTTTCTCAAGCATCAGTCTTTTCACCCCTGGCTACATAAGGTTTGGATCTCAGACTGACAGCAACAGGATCACCAGGAGTTTGTCAGAAATGCAGCATCTCAGGCTCCATCCAAAACCTACCGGATTGGGATCTGCATTTTAACAGAATCCTCAGATGATTTCTATGCAGAGTAAAATGTGGGAAATGCTGCTCTAGCCGTCTGCTCCTCTCTCCATCTCCCTGTACCCTCCATCATTAATGTCCATCTCCTGTGCGGTGACTTCTAGCCCTTTATCTCCAGCACAAACTTTCTTCTGAATTTTATTCTCACAATGGCAGCTGGCTTCTTGGCATTCCCATTATTGTGCATCATAACAACAAACTCAACATTTCTACAATCCCCATCCCAAACAATTTCCCTTTCTGACAGGCCAATTCTCTAAAGTCATATCATGCTTATAATTACCTAAGTTCAAACTCTTGGAGTCATCTTCATTTCTTGCCAGTGCCTTTCTAATTCCCCATATCAAACACCTGATTTCAATGATTTGTTTTGGAATATCTCATGAACACATTCTTTAATTTAGATCCCCACTTTAGCAAAGCATGGCAGAAAAGTTGAGAGATAGTAACTTTAAGTAAATTACTTAACTTCCCTAAGCCTCAGTTTCCCCTTCTGAGGATATCTGAGGATATCTTTGTCTATCTCCCAGATGCTGTTGTGATTTTTTTTTTTAATTTTAAAGGCACCCAGGTCAGTATCTGGCACATGGCACACACTAGATGATGAACAAATCTTGGCTTATGCTTCCTCATCACTCAACCCTATTTTAGGGCCACTGTTTGGGGGCTTCTTAACATGTTTCCCAGCTTCCAGTCCTTAAGTTAATCCATTTTATGTATTATTGTCCAATCATATCAATAAAAATTCCATTCACCAATCACTCAGAAGCCACCAGTGACTTGAAAGTGCCACTGTGTGATGCCCAAACAGCTTAGGCTGCCATCCTGATATTGACATACTCTATCTCCAGCCAACCATTTGGTCTCATCATCTACTCCTTCCCTACTCACACTCTCTTGTTCACATAAACTCTGACCACACTGTATGCCTTTCAGCTTCTGTCCTCACTTCCACAGTATTCCACTGTCCTGAATGCTTATCTTCTAATTTATTTTTCTCATCCAATTGCCGTTCAATCCTTTCACCCCCAGCTCAGACTCCACTCTCTGTATAAGCCACTTGGCAGTTAATTGTTCATTTCTGTTTGATAATTCTTCTCCTCTTACCTGGAACTGTTTCAGACGCATACACTACAATGAAATGGTTCATGGATTTATTTTTCATTTCTTAATAAGACTATTTGGAAAAAAAAACCAACAACCAATATCTATAAGCACTTTCACTTGCCCAGGCAATGAGCAAAGTGCTGTGCATGGATTTTCTAATCTGACCTTCTCAGCATCCCTATGAGGGGAGAACTGGTATGGACCCTGGTTTGTGGATGCAGAAATGAAGGGGCAGAGATGCTCAGTAATTCATGCCAAGTTGCCCTGTTAATGGGAGGCAGAGCCAGGACTTGAATCCAGGTTTTGCCATCTCAGCTCCCATGTTCTTAACCCCCTCTATATGTAGATGCCAAGGGCAGGAAACAAATCCAACAGCTCTCTCTATTTCCCATGTGATAGATACGGATTTCAGACAATTGAAGTCTTGTTTTTTCAGAACCATGTAATCTGACTTGTGTGTGTGTGATCTGTACAACAATATGCCACATTATCTTCAGGCTGCACTACAGTATCTTGGCACTTGCAAAGCATTTCTCCTTCTAAGGACTTTAAAAATGATTATGTTACTTTCAAAATAACTCTGAGGTAAGGAAAGAAAAAAAATATCTTAACATCAATGCCTCCTACCCTGACTTGGCCATATGGCTCCTGGAACCAACATCTTCAAGTCCCAACTGCTACCCCAGGGTGCTCAACTTCCCTTGGAGTCATGGCCGTACCATTTAGGATATGATGAGCAAAAGACAAAAGTCAGAATCTGGCAGGAAATGCAATCAGTAAAGTCCACATTCCAGGGTGGTATCAATTTTAAGCAGATTATCTAAGATCAAGATGTGGCTAATAGGATCAGATAGCTGGCTCATTCTAAATTTATGGCCCTAAAAAATCAAATAATATAAACCTCTGAGTTGGGATTTTTTGGCTCTGAATTCCAAGATTTGTGATGATGAAGAAGTTACTGAAGGTGATGAAGGGGAAAAGAAGACGGAGGAAAGGTGTCCCATTGTACATCAGTAGAGAAGAATAGTTCTTCACCTTTCTTTGGGTCCTTTTTAATTTGATGGAAGCATACTCATACACAGAGACACACACACAAAATACTCAGTTTAGGCAGTGCAGGTGTCATCACCTCCCCCAAAGGCCTAGAAAAAGAGTGGAAGATATATACTACACAGCTCCCAAGCATCAGCATTTTGCAGTGCCAGGCACTATAGCAGATACCAGCAAATGTATATCAAATCCCTGCTTGCACTGTCCTCCAAATCTCCAAATAACCAACACACATTGAGGGCCTCCTATGCTCATGGCCACTATGTTCAGAGCTGGATAAAGGGAGAGGCAATATCAAGATGAGTAAGAAGAGTAAAAAACAATGACTGCAAAGAGGAGCTAAAAACCCAGTGCCAAGAATGGGAGTCTATACCTCTGTAAGCTTACCTAAAAATAATTTTGCAAATACCTAAATATCAATCTTCCAGGAGCTGAGAAAGTAAAAAGGAAAAGAGAGCATGGGAAGTTTAGTCATGGGGTCCTAAAACAGATTATATTATGGTATTTCACTGGTGAGTGGCAAGAGAGAGGCATACACCCACAGCTGAGGGATTGTAGTGAGGGAGTGGTCATAAGATCACATGCGGGTGGGAAAGAGGCAGTGAGAAAAATGGTCACCAGGCAGAAATGCATGGGCTGGGGAGCGGGAGACATTCCATGTGGCGGGAGCAACAGACAAAGCATAGCAAATAGGGAACTGTTAGGGATTGAATTGTGCCCCTCAAACACCATCACCACAGTACCTCATATTGTCACCTTATTTGAAAACGGGATCTTTGCAGATGTTCAAGTTAAGATGAAGTCACTAGGATGGGCCCTAATCCAATATTACTACGTCCTTATACAAAGGAAAAATGTGAACACAGATAGATACACACGCACAGAACACCATGTGAACATGAAGGCAGAGATCTGCATAATGTGTCTACAAGCCAACAAATGTCCAAAATTGCCAGCAAACTACCAAAGCTAGAAGAGGGGCCTGGAACAGATCCTTCCCTAGTGCCTTCAGGGGGCTCACAGCCCTCCAGACACCTTGATCTTGGATTTCGGGCCTCCAGAACCGAGAAAATAAATTTCTGTTGTTCTAGGCCATCCAGTTTGTGGCACTTTGTTACAGCAGCCCTAGCAAACTAAAACAGGAATTGTTTCTTCCCTGAGAAGGAAAGTACATAATTTGGCAGGAACATAAGGCAGGAATATGGGAAAAATGGGAAGCAGCTCAGTAAGGGAGATTAGGAACACGATGTTGCAGGACTATCTGTGAGTAACTCCATAAAAATGGGACATCACCAATCAAGTGACAGTGCTAGAACTGCAGCTGTGGAATTTAGATGTGGGCACTGGTATGGATCAATAGATAGAGATGAAGACTGACAGATGGATAGATGGATAAATGAAGATGACAGATGTTGGGTCAATAGATATAGACATGGATAGATACTTAGATAAGAGATTTAGATTAAGTGATGTACCTTCAACTAATGATAATGGCTTTTCACATTAATGTTAAAAATCAATTTCCAAATGTTGAATTCTGTTTCCCACTTTCAAAACAATGTCACATAGGTTTAGGAGAACAAAAGTCCTGGAAATTCATAGGAATTACACACCTGGGAAAGCAGAGTGTCCCATGGAGCCCAGAGAGCACCTGCTCAGGTAGACACACCCAGCCTGCACTCACCAAATCTGTGCCTTAGCCCTCACAGATCTCACCCCTAGTAGAAACTGCACAACCTAGGCTGAAACAGTCAGACTGTGACAGAAAGAACCTCAAGGAATAAAAGCAGTACAGGGAGAGTGCTAGGGCATTCCTAAGAGGTAGCAATAGTAGGAGACTTAGCTTTCTTGGAGGAGACAGCTGTTGCCATGAGGCCTAAAGGAGACATAAGATTTTCTCCTAAGAAGATAGGAAGAGAAGTTATTCCTGGAATAAAGCACCACACTGACAGCCATAGTGGGGAAGTACAAGACACACTTGGGGAAGTGCAAGGAGTTCCTATTAATAAATGGAAATGATTAGCTTGGGGGCAGATCATGAAGGAACTTGAGAGTTTTGGGCAATGGGTGAGTCTTGAAGGATTTCAAAGAGGGGATGACCAGAGAAAAGATTAAAAGGAATGAAAGATGAGACAGAGAAAGGTCAGCAGTGGCTGGTCTAGCTAGGGCAGGGGCCAGCAAGCTTTCTCTGTCAAGAGACAGACAGTAAATATTATAGGCTTTTCAGGCCATACGGTCTCTGTTGCAGCTACTCAACTCTGCCGTTGCAGCACGAAGGCAGCCATAGACAATGTGCAATGAATGAACATGGCTGAGTCCCAATAAATTTATTTAGAGACATTGAAATTTGAATTTCATATAATTTTCACGTGTTACAAAAGATGATTCTTCTTTGAATTTTTCCAACCATTTAAAAACATAAAAACCGGCTGGGTGTGATGGTTCATGCTTGTAATCCCAGCACTTTGGAAGGCTGAGGCAGGTGGATCACCTGAGGTCAGGAGTTCAAGACCAGCCTGGCCAGCATGACGAAACCCCATCTCTACTAAAAATACAAAAATTAGCCGGGCATGGTGGCACGCACCTGTAATCCCAGCTACTTGGGAGGCTGAGGCAGAAGAATCACTTGAACCCGGGAGGCGGAGGTTGCAGTGAGGTGAGATCGCACCACTGCACTCCAGCCTGGGCGACAGAGAGAGACTCCGTCTCTAAAAATAAAATAAAATAAAATAAAATAAAACCATTCTTAGCTTAAGAGTTGTACAGAAACAGGCTGGATTGGGCTTGCAGGCTATAGTTTGTGGCCCCCTGGGTTAAACGGTGACAGTACCATCCTGGACACGTGATACATTAGGGCTGGGATCGCTGAAGGAGAACCAAGAGGATGGATGCCAGAGGGATGCAAAGGTAGAGCTTATGCAAATCAGAAACTTGGCATCAGATTAAACATAGGGGGTGGGAGAGGAGGCAGTGTCTGGGCTGCTCCAGGGTTCTCCAGTGTGATTATGACAAGACCATTAGCAACACAGGAGAGCAACGGAAAAGAAGTTGGTGATGTGTTCAGCACAAACTCAGGACAGCATGCCTGCAATGCTTAAAGAAGTGTGGCAATGCTTGAACTATGAATTAGAAACCTCATGCCCTTGACTTTATTTCATCAGACCTGAGGCAAGCCACTTGCTATTAAATAAGGCTCTTCCAGCCAGGCATGGCAGCACACAGAGGAGCTCTGAGTTCCAAGAACTGCGGTATACTCTACTCAGTTTAGAGCCACTTTAGACTTGCTAAGATCAGTGGAAGAACTGAGGTTAATGTTAGGTCAATTTATTTTATAAACTTTTAGTGTGTAGATGAATTCTTTTGGGACCTCACTGTGCCTATTATCCCCCAAATGCACTCACTGCCTTAAGAGGCAGGAGATACAACAACACATTCAATGCCTAGCAGCCCTGTTTCCTCTTCCTAAATGAGGAGCAAAGAGTAAGATGTAATTGCTGTGACTAACATGGCAGTGTAGTCAAGGGGAATGTAAGCAAATTCTAAGTTTCACTTCCAGTTCTGCCATTAGGCAGATGTGGATCAGGCACCAGTAACCTCCTGAGCTCAGTCTTCCCACCTGCATAATGGGGATAACTATACTTCCCTTGGAGACCCAAGGGATTATAGATATTTGGGTGAAGCATACAGTGCTTCATACAATTGTCTGGCAACAATTGGCATGAATTACATTCCAATTCCAAATGCGAGCTGTAAACAATATTCAACAAGACAGCCGTGAGTGTCCTAAGAAGAGAGAGAAGGCGATGAAGCATCAATGAGACATTTGCTATGCATTCTCTGTGGTAGAGTCTCCTCCTTCTATATATCCTTCAAAATTCTCAGGCAACGAGGATGTGAATACAACTGCATTCTTACCACCCTGCATGACCCTTCTCCCGCTTGTTATTCCACTAAATTGGCAGGGCCTGGAGGGAAATCTTACCTGCAAATATATCACAAACAGACACACAGATTTTGAGCAGTAAATATTTTTTTTATATGAGTTCTCTTTGGCAGATCATATACTCTTATTCTAAAAATCTCAAGTATCAAGTGTCAAATGTGATCAAGTGTTATCATTATACAATACTTTTGATGGATATGTGTTCTTTGATTCCTAGGGAAAAAATATGAAATTGAGGTACGTTTCTTACGTAAGAAACCTGGGGTCATAGTTTCTCCAGAGATGTGCCATAGGCACTTAGATAACACTTGTGCCCCTTTTGGACACTTGTAGAGACCCCAAAGCTCACACCATCCCACACAACGTGTGCAAATAGCTGTAGAATGAGAACCAGATGATGGTCTAGCCCTGTGGGACAGGGGAGAGTCACTGTCTTTCCAAGTTTCAGTTTTCCAATCTGTAAAAGGGAGATAAAACTTTTGTACCTTCTCCGTCACAAAAACATCATGAGCTCTAAAGAAGGTAATGTAGGAATTATCTTTGAATGTTAGTGCAATGACATTTTGGACCAGATAATTCTTGGTTTTGGGGGGCTGTCCTGAGCATTGTGGGATATTTAGCAGTATCCCTGGTCTCTCCTCACTGGATGTGAATAGCATCCTCCACCCCATTGTGATCATCGAAAGTGTCTCTAGACATTGTCAAAAATCCCCTAGGGACAGAATCACCCTGGTTGAGAACCACTGCTACAAGTAGGAAATTTTCACTGCAGCTTATGATTCAGGAACTGGGAGAATCAGGACCACTAATGCTAGCTGAGTTCCATGTTTAACCATAACATATACTGATGCTGCTCCTAAAAGCCCATAGACCATTAACAAGAGCTGAGAATGTCATAGCTGCCTGCTGTAGTTGTGTGCATCATGGCCACATGGCCAAGGACATGGTGGCTGTATGTGTTATGGGGCAGTGGCGATGCCAGCTTCAGATGTCTATACAGTGGCTGTTGTAGAGCTCTGGAAGTCCTGGGAGCTCTCGTGCAAACAAGTCACATTGGACTTTAAGCAGTGATGCTTTTATAACTATATGAATCCATATTCTGATGCATTTTTAATCCATGTAAACTCACAGCCAACCACCCCTTATTATACCACATTAGGGAGTTTAATTACTTATTTAATCAGAATCTTTCCTGGATGGCCAGAAACAGCAAATAGAGAAACTTCAATAGCCATTATGCCAACCAAGAGCAACACAGACTCCATTGAAACAATTGCCTGCACTGCAATCATGCTAATTAAAGGCCCCCAGAAGAGTCAAGATAAAAATGTCAAGTGAGATTTGTTCTGGACTGCAATGACTTACTGCCTCACATGATGAAGTTCCAATAACCCTGGAAAGAAATGCCTTGCTGGTAGGGAGTGTGGGGGGAGGAGGATTGCTGGCTGCAAAAGCCAACCAGTAAGGCCCCAGAGGTGATGTACTGCAATGGAGGAAGGCAATTCAATCAATCCTCAAAAATGGGGCTTCCCAAAGGATCCCCATTTCCAAGCAGTGCCTTAGTCTGCCCAGGGTATGAAAGGCTCCTGTGGGTGCTTCTCAAAGCTTCTCTCCCCCATGCCAACCCACCTACTTTATGAAGTGGGTTTGGACATGAAGCCACTGACTTGCATCACAGGATATTTTAACAAACACCCCTAAGAGGTGCACTGTTAGATCTACTGTCAGGAAGCTGGAAAGTATAATACTGCATCCCCACACTATTCCTCTGAACAATGGAAAAGATATTCTTCCTCTGAATGACAGCCTGTAACCTTTGATGCTTACCTTTGTTCCTTGGCCACTAGGATGCCCAGAGCCAGATCTCTAAGGTCCCTCTAGCAGCAGGTACTTAGTAGTCTAAACTTGCCACTAATTTTATTTTCTTACATGTATCCCCCACTATTACCAGATACTGTCACTCCCATTATTCATCTTTGTTGCATTACATTTGCATTTTTGCAAAGCACCTCAAACATTTTTTGCAATGAAATGGGATGTCACTGAATAAATAACATGTAGATGTCTTTTCTTCCTTCATGCAAATTTTATTTCCCATGCATCGAGCCATGTAGATATTTCCCTGGGAGGAATATGGCAGGCCCTATCACAAAAAGCTGCTGTGGATAGGGGCATGATAAGGAGCTGAGGACATGACTAAATTGGAAAAGTTTATCTTTAAGACTACATCTTTCAGACTTAGGATAGGCTCATGGAATTCTGAATTCAGATGAGGAAGATGGCACTGGGACAGACAATAGAGGCTTACTAAAGAATACAAATGATTCTTATCAAAGAGGGAGGGAGGAGGTATTTCTATTACATTGCAATATGATTCCATAGAACCAGACAAATTTCCACCATCCTCTATAAGGACCTACTCCAAAATATTAATTGAAATGCTGATTTAATCAGCTCCTGACCCACAGACTTAGGGATCTGAGAGTACAGGGCTTGGACTTCTTAGTGCTATGATAGTGATACTTATCAGACTTCTTAATGCTATGATGGTGATATTCAAGTATCAGACTTCTTAGTGCTATGATGGTGATATTCAAGAAATGTGTAGGGGTGTATATACACTTTCTGTTGCCCCCAGTGGGGTAATCCAGGAGTGGAAGTCTGAGGATTTAGACACAGGTAGGGACTAATAGTGGACAGGTAGCTGTATATTCACACTCTTTGTTAAAATGTCGACATATGTCCATACTAGTTAGTAAATAGCCCCTGCCTTGAGTACTCAGACCCTCAACACTGTCATGCTGGCCCCAGCCCCCTCCTCTGAGAATTCTCACAATCGAACAAGGAGCTCATGCAAGGTCAGGTGCAAGAATCTCTTCCAATAGGGCAGTGTATACCAGGCAGGGTTTTTTTCTCTTAGAATCATTTATGGAAATATAATTCACAAAACATAAAATTCACCCTTTAAAACTATACCACACACACATACACACATACACATGAATAAACCATATCCATTAGCAGTTATTCATCACCCTGTGTGCCTCTGACCCCTGGAAACAACCACTAATCTACTTGCTGGTATTATGGATTTGCTTATTCTGGACAAATCATAGAAATTGAATCATTAAATATGTAGTTACTTTGAATCTAGCTTCTTTCACTTGACATACTGTTTGCAAGCTTTAACCATGTTGTAGCAAGTACCAATACTCTATTCCTTTTTATGGTTCAATAATATTCCATGGATATATTATATTCTTAGTCCATTTTTAAGTTGGTGAACATTTACACTGTTTCTGCTTTTTAGCTATTATGAATAATCTTGCTGTGAATATTCATGTACAAGTTTTTGCATGAACACGTTTTCAATTCTCTATTATGCACCTAGAAGTGGAATTGGTAGGTCATATGGTAATTCAATGTTTAACTTTTTGAATATATGTCAAACTATTTCCCAAAGCAGCTGCATCATTTTATATTACCAACATTAAGGTGTAAAGGTTCTACTTTCTTCACATCCTCACCAATACTTTTTACTGTCCAACATTTTTTATTGTAACCATTCCAGTGGGTATAAAATGATATTACAATGTGGATTTGCATTTCCCTAATGACTAATTATAATGAGCAACTTTTCCTGTGCTTATTGGCTATTTGTATATCTTCTTTGAGAAATGTCTATTCAAACCATTTGCCCATTTTTTATTGGGTTGTCTTTTTATTGAGTTGTAAGTGTTCTTTATATATTCTGGATACTACTCCCTTATCAGATATGATTTACAAATATTTTCTACCATTCAGTGGGTTGCCTCTTCATTTTCTTGTTGGTGTCCACTGAAGCAAAAAAGTTTTCAATTTTGATGAAGTCTGATATATATATTTTTTCTTTTGTTACTTGTGTTTTTGGTGTCATATATAAGAAATCATTACCTAATCCAAGTCTACAGAAACTTGCACCTAAGTTTTCTTCTAAGAGTTTTATTGTTTCAATGCTTACATTTAGGTCTTAGATCCATTTTGAGTTAATTTTTGTATATGGTATGTGGTAGGGGTTCCAAGTTCACAATGAGCACGTGAATAGCTCATTGTCCCAGGACTATTTGTTTAAAAGACTATTATATCCTTTTTGAATTGTTTTGGCAACATTGTTGAAAAATCAGTTGACCGCAAAAGTACAAGTCTATTTCTGGACTCTCAATTCTACTCCATTGATCTATGTCTATCCTCATGGCAGTACCATATCGTCTCTATTACTGTAGCTTTGTAATAAGTTTTGGGATTGAGGAGTTAGAACCTCCAAATTTGTTCTTCTTTTTCAGGTTTGTTAGGCTATTTTGAATCTTCTGGATTTTCCTATAGGTTTTAGGATCAGCATGTCAATTTCTGCAAAAAAGAGGCCTGAATTTTGACAGACTGTGGTTAAATCTGCAGGTCAATTTAAGGAGTACTGGTATATTAATAATATTAATTCTTCCAATCAATATACATACATACATGCCAGTTGTTGAATGAAAATGATATTTGATTTAAAAATAGAGTAAAAATGAGTATAGATATCTATGCATTGATATAATAAAGTCCATGGGAGATTGTGAACTCTTCATCATTGGAATTATTCCCAGAGAAGGATGATAATGTTGGCCAGGTGTATTGTAAAGGGATTTTCTCTCTCTGAAGGATAGTGGTTGTTTTTTTTTTTTTTTTTTTTTTTTTTTCCAAACTGAAAATCTAAGAGTTGGACTATTTCGAGTTTTCTCAACTCCTCAAGCTATAAAGCATTCAGGCTCACACAGGAGAACTGTACCATCATAAAATCTCAAAAGAAAGACATAAGTTCAGCCAAGGATGGATAATGGAAGGCCTTGTTCAAAAAATTTCCACCAGCAAAGTGACCCTGCCCTCAAGGAAATGGTGAATCTGTGATAGTGTTTATGTGCCCCAGCCCTCATCCCTGATGACTAAGATTGCTAGGAACTACAGAGGGTAGGGAAGCCCTTCCCCAATTAATATATCTAACTAACACCAAACTAGAAGCTGACATTCAGAGAATCTGAGATCTCTGCTTTAATTCTTAGGATAGATTTTTGATCCTGGAATGGCAAACAAAGCAACAAACAAAGGTATACAATTTCACTGTAACTCTCACCTTGAAATAAAAAGAGACAGTTTTTTAAAAACTAAGACTCAACAGAAAACATGAGAAGCTATGCAAAAAAAAAAAAAAAACCTTGCTAGAAGCCCGGAGAAAACAAGATTCTTATGAATCAAAATATCCATCCTTTAAACCAACAGAAAATTAAAACAAGCATGACTAACCAGGTGAATCTCAGCCTATCACAACTACGGCCTATTGAAGGAAAAAAAACAAAAAGCAGACTCCCCAAGCCAGAGAAAGAGGAAGGAAGCCTGGGGAGTGGGGACCTTTGCCAGCAAGCTCAAATCAGATATTCAATGAGTCCCAGACCTCAAGTACCACTTTTCAAAAATCCGCCAAGATCAGAGAGAAGACTTTAAATCTATCAAAGGCAGCGTGCCAGCACATGAATCTTTGGTTCCACCCAATAATCACAGAGCAAAGGGCATGCTTAAGGTTGAGAAGAAGCAAGAAAGATTTAGAAAAAAAATCATTAAGTTATTTGACTAATTCTTTACAAGGCAATCAAATGCTAGCCACTCACTTGTCTTTTGAAGCACACAAGTGTGGCACACACACAGAATGGTCTAGATCTAACTGACAATTATATAGGAGATAAACTGGGAGGCGTAGAAGCAGCCAACTATGAGCTTTGAACAATACTATGAACCTGTAGACCTGCTGACCAAAATGTTAAGGTCCTTTCCAGCAGAGCCAAGGTCTCACAGGTAAACTGTATGCCAGTGTGCGTCAGAGCTCCCTAGAGAAAATTCTTGACTGGCATGATCTGAGAGCTAACTTTGCACCAGGCACTGTTTTGAGTCCTTGGCAGGTTTTATTTCCTTTAAACCTTAGAATCCCATGAAGTAGGTAACATATTGGTCTAATTTTACTGGTGAAAGAACTATGGCATAGAGAGAGGTTAAGTAACTTGCCAATGTTACATGGTTACCAGGATGCAGAGCTGAGATTTGAGCCCAGGTAGGATGCCTCCAACAATCACACAGCTAACTACTACAATGCACTGCTCCGCTGAGAAGAAAGAGGACTGTGGAACAAAGTTTCAACCAGGGAATCACTCATTGCTAAGCCAATATAACATATGGAGGAACAAACACTTTCTCCATAAGGAAAAGTCAAACCTCATGAAAATCTTCAAAAGAGTAAATAGGCACAAGGGTGTAAGGAACCAACTGTTATGATATATTTGGATTTTTTTTTTTTTTTTTTGCACTAAGATTCCACTCAATGGCTATTTTTAAGATGGAAGTCTCCATGGTAATTGAGATGTATTCTCATGGATGGAGAACTGGTCAAAGAGTCTCTTGAAAACCCTTTCCCATTCAAGAGCAGAATCTCCTGCTTCAGGGCCACGCACCCATAAGAAAGAAAAGACAGGACAATGAGCCTCTCTCTTGGTCTAACTGGCTTGCTTGGGGTACTTCTGTTTGCTGTGCCTCTGACTTGATTCTAGGCTTTCCCTTACCTCTCTTGTCTTTCAGCACCTGTGCCCTCCTCCACCTGGTGGAGCTTTAGAGCTTTACAATTTGTCCAGTATCACTCCTTCACTATTCACCTGATCTCTCCATCCTTAATGCCCCTCCTGGCATCCCTGATCTCCAAGAGGGACTATGCCAGAGTCCCTCTGAGATGATCCTAAGCTATTCCAGGTAATATAAAACTAAAACAAAAGTTATAAACTATAGGAAGAGCCCAAGAGACTTTTGCATGTGCTGTAAACAAGAGGAGAGAGATGATCAGAAAAACGGGCAGATAAACTCTCATGTGGGCAAGAAAAGGGGAATGTTTTTCATCAATGGAAAATCCAAACCATTCAGTCTAGAAAAGAGACTTGGGAGAGATCAAAAAGTATTCCTTGAGGATGTGGTCTCAATATGTGCTACTCGGGCCAAAAATACCAACATGTTGCCAAGCATCATCAAAACAGCTGTTGGAAAAAAGAACACATTGTCCTGCCCTTGTGCAAATTCAAGGCATATTTACACTAAGAAGAATGTGTACCCTACTGCCTTCCACAGGGCAAGAAACAAATAAGACAGTGAGGGAAGTTTGAGGGAAGAGAAGAAACATTTATAAGGATTTAGCAGGTGTGGGAGAGTGTGAGAGGCCAAACTTAAAAGCTCTGTGAGACTCACCCTTGAAAAAGTGGGGTAAAAGTGAACAGGATCAGAATCGTAGCACTAGGGGAAGGATTGGCTCAAGTGAATGATGGTCTCACTATCATTCAACTCCTCTTGATCTGTGGCAGCAGAATGAATGGATGGAATTTATCACAGTGCTGGAGTATTCCATGTGTGAAATCATTTCATCCTCCCAATGCCTAGCAAAGTGGTATTTATTATTCTCATCTTACAGATGAGAAAAATGAGGCCTAGAGAGCTTAAGTAATTTGTGCAAAGGTATGAAAGTAGAGCTGGGTTTTAACCCTATATTCGTGTTACTCCAAAGGTTTTCACCTGCATTTGTTTTCCCTCTATTGATTTGGGTCTCTTTGCTCACTGGGATCCATCCTCATTAGGCACTCACACTGTTCTTCCCTGATTGATGCTTTCTGGACACACCCTGGTGCTGCCAGAGAAGCCTAAGTACAGGCTGCCATGCTTTCCTGAGTAGGAGCCAGATGCTTCATGAGCTTGACCCCCAGTTCATTCAGGACTTCTGATGGCCCCAGAGAAGTCCATGGAGTAACAATATCACCACCTAGGATGCCTGTGTTAAGACAAGAGTCTTGTGGGGACAGGCTTTCCTAGGCAATTGTTCCAAACAGCTGTCAGTGACTTTGTCAATGGGTCCAGCAAAGGGCCTGCCCTTAAAGCCTAAAGTCTGTCCGCCCTAAAACACACTGTTCTGCATGGATTCCTTTACAAAGCCACCTGATCTTACCCTCTGCATGGCTCTCCCACTGCACTCTGTGTGATAACTGCCTTGACTTGTCTCAACTTTAGACTCCATGCATGGAACAGACCACCTCAAATCTCTCCAAAGGAGAGATTTCAACAAATCCTGGAATACCTGACATCTGTATATCCCACTGCCTAAGGGCCAGAGCACAGAAAAAGGTGCTAGGAGGCAGTCTCCCTCTCTTACCAAAATAAGCCTGAGACCCTCCCCCATCTACCCCAACAACTACACAGTCTACACTTCAATTTCCATAACATTCCATTCCCCTTCAACAAAGTTTTTACCCTTGAACATTATTAGCAACCTATCAGAGATAGGGCAATACATTTGAGGAAATCTATCTTCACATCAATATGGTAAATCCAAGGATAACCAGAGCATAAGAGGTTTCTGTAGGAAGGATCTCTCATCCCCTCAAATGCCGATGTGCACTGGGGCTCACTAGGAGGCAGATGGTATTTACAGCCCTTCCCAAACTTATTTAGTGGAACACTTTTTCAAGAGCTTCTCACAGGACCATATCAGAACACTTGTAATTTACAGCATCTGTAGCTGTCAAAATAGCCTCTGACTTTAAGGAGAAAGTAAAAATGTTCATTACCAAATCCAGCAAGCACCAGGGTGGATGATTAAACTAGAATATTTCAGTCATCCCCAAAAAAATTTTTCCCACAACCTCTCATAATTATTCTAGGCTTTTCTCTCCTTCTCTTCCACCCCCACCGTAAGAGTGTTCCTCGGGAAAGGGATTTAAATTACACAGGGATGAAACTTCTGCAGCTATTAATATCTTACACGTCTCAGGTGTCTTTCCAGGCAAAGTGCTTTTCAGATTAGCAGTGGAGGCAGCTTTTCTCCTGAAGCACCTGGTGCAATGCTATGCACTACCAGGAGCCTGGGGAAAAAGGATTGATAGAGATCATCATGCACAACTGCAGGTCACATGAAAAGGGATTGCTGGTGGCTGGTGGCAGCCTCAGCAGAGAGGCAGCTCTATCTGGGGGCAGCAGCCCTCCACAGGCACAGGACACATGTGGCTTCAGGTGGAAATAAGAGATGAACCAAAAAGCCCTGCCCCATGGGATGGCATGATTCTGGGATTTGAAGAAGCAGTGAGCATCTCCTTGATGTAAAAGAAAACGGGCTAGTACATCCGTAGCTTGAACACTGAGGTTTGTGGGAAAGCACACAGGAGCACAACACATGCACACAGGGAGAGAAGTACGCAGAGGCACACAGCTGGGCTTCCAAATGCACACATGACATACAGACTCACACATGCACAGCCCATGACGGCTAGTTTCCAAACTGTGGATTTCAGAACACAGCACCATCAGAGAGCCACTAAGATAACCCCACGAGTAATTTTAACGTTGCCTTCCTCATGCGTGAAAAAGCAACTGAGACCCATCTCAGGAGAGTCTGCTCAGCTGGGAGAGGCACAGGGAGCACTTGTGCCCACCTGTGTCAACTGACACCACATGAGGACAAATGGAGGCCATGGCAAGGTTTAGTACAAAAATGAAAAAACCTAGCGTGAGGAGAGACATGACCCCCGGCCTCCAAAATGTGGACAAGCCTGAACCAAGGGGTTGATGTGCTGGGATGTGCTCTAGGTATGATACAATGATAGCTTGAGTTATATTCATAATAACTATCCTATATGGGCATTCTGTTATCCTTATTTACAGACAAGGAAGCAAGGCTTAAAGAACTGAAGTGACTAGTCCAAGACACATAACCAGTAGTCGGCAGGGTGGAACCAAAACCCAGTTGTGCCCAGCATCAAATCCTGCTCACAATACCATACTGTTGGCTAAGTGGTTTCAGGCAGAACAATCAGGACCAGGGAATGGGTCCCCAAAAAGATGATTCTTGGGCCAGGATAGGACAACCTTTTTCACAATTAGAGCTGCCTGAAAGGAGACTGGACACTCTGGAAAGAGTGACTTTTGGTCACTAGAAAAACGATCTGAAATTGGATGGCCACCTATAAGGGATGGACAGGAGACTCACACCCACAAGGATCTGTTGTATCTTTTTCAATCCTAAGATTTTCTAACTTGGACTTGTTGAGAAACAAGAGAAGGTTTGTGCCTGGGAAGCCTGTTTTATCTTTTGTCTTAAGCCTGTTTCCAGGCATGTGAAATTCTACCACCAGAGATGTGCTCATTGAAATCAAGGCAATCACTGGGCAGAGGAATCTGAAGACCTGAGTTCTAATTCTTCCTGTCTTCTGCACACAAACCAGCTGTGTTTCTTGGGCAATCCACTTGATCTCTCTATGCCTCAGTAATCTCGTCTGTAAAATGGGTGGATGAATAGGACCCCTAACGTGCCTTATACCCTATGATGCTGCATTTCTAGACCTTTGTTACCAAGAAAATGCTCCTTTATGACTGTAGCTTCCTAGAATCATGGGCACAGAAGATTTGCCAAGGAATTATCTACTGGGATGACTTGGCCACATATCTCTAGAGATACAGAGATCTAAGGGAACAAAACTATTCCCATACACTAGAGAGAGGTTCCTATTCAGAAGAGAAGTGTCCCCTGAAGCAAAGTAACTAAAATTAATTTGGGTTGGATCTCTCCAGAAGAAGAAAAAGAGCAGAATCCTAAAACTCACAGAGAGCAAATACACTCCCAGAACCTTAGAGCATAACAGGGTTGGCTCTTGGAGAAGTTCCATGTGTTCAATGTTAGCTGGTAAATTTAAGGTGAAAAAGGAAAGTGGGGCACACCTGGTTCTATTTCTACCAATGCCACCAACTCACTAGGTCTCTTGGGGCAAGTATCTTAACCACTCAGGGCTTCAGTTTCCTCATCTGTAAAGCAACAAGAGTAGATGCAAGTGCCAAATTCACTTGTACATGTGAGCCCCGAGAGAAGCTGGCAGACCCCACACAAAGACCAAGAACCAGGATCTCCGAGGTTCTTGGACACAGTGGTCCAAGAACCCTAGGCCCTAGGACACAGTGGTTTCTAAAAGCTCCCGGTTGATTCCAATGCAGATTCCTGAGGACACATATTTACTATCCATGGAACTATATGACCTTTAAGTGCTTCACATTTTAAATTCTACTAAGTTCCCAGTTCTGAGTCCCAGTCTCCTGACACTCAAGGCTCTTGGTGGCAGTGCAGTTCTGATGAGGAGCAACCAGGGCTCGGCCCCCAGCGATTCTTCATATTAAACAGACGCTACAATTCTTTTGATCCACACTCCATTATTCATAAAGGCATATCAATTACTGAAATATTATCTTGACCACTAACGGAAATGGAATATATAAGATCCACCTCCATGTTTAGCACCTCCCTTCACTCTCCCTGCTGGAAGATTCCCTTTCCATTAGCAGTAGCTCAGATGTCCCAGACTTCACAGACCAGCCCCCCTCGGGCCTAGAGAAGAAAAAAATTAGGACTGAAGAAGGATTTCTACTCTCAGGTTAAAGAAGAACAGATTCCTGATTTTGTTTTCTTTCTGCCTCCAGGGGACCTCTAGTTGAGAAGGAAGAGATCCCCAGTTGAGTGGGAAGAGACTTGTCATTGTCTGCATGTTTTTGAGGCTTATAGCTAAAGAGGCAATGGAGAAACCCCTACCTCAGTGACATATCAGGGACATTAATTTCATATTGCTTAAAACTATGAAGATAATTTTGATGATGATGATATTAGCTAACATTGAATGTATGAAGCTATTACTATATGCAGAACACTTTGCATTTATTTCCTTTATTCCTTATTTTTTTAAAATGGAGAGAGAGAATCACAAACTAAAATGGCCACAAAAGCCAGGTGAGCAGTGTAGATGAGCAGAAAGAGTTGGGTGTAAGACAATAAGGAGAAAAGGAGACTCTGGCAAAAAGGGGAACACAAGCTCTGGAAAAAGGTCCACTGCTTCTACGTTCCACCTAATGGTTGCCATGCAGAAATGCAAGCCAATTTTGACAGATCCTTCTATCTTTCAAGAGAAACTGGAAATGCAGAGATTTTTTTGTGTGAACCTTGTCAAGTTTTACTTGCTAGCAACCAATTCAAAAAGAATGATACGCTCTGCATAGGCCACAGGACACACCCCTATAGGGTGCACATGACCCTCCTGCTGCTGTTTTGCAACCTGTCTATCTTCCAGGAGCCCTACAAGATGCTGCTTTGCAGATATGATGTTAAATGACCTGTGAAAGGATTTGCAGCTTGTAAGCACTGGAGCTGGAGTTGAAACTCAAATCCAGACTTTTCTACTAGGACAGGTAGCCTCTACCCTTCTCTCCACTGCAGTGTTACAGGAGGCACCTCTGCTCCTGTTCTCAGAATCTCCTCAGATCCAGTGAGAAAAAAGCACACTACAGACTGCTTTTCCTTCCAAACAATATAGTGGATTCCTTTGTCCTCAGATCCACCAAACTTATCCAAGCCAAAAAACATCATGGAGAAAGTAAAGTAGAATAAATCTTCTTCCAAATGATTAGATGTCGAGCTTGCCCCCAAATCTCTTTCAAATCTACAAAGCAAAAGCTCAGTGGCCATGTTGTCCATTTATTCTGTTCTCTGGCCTGTTTTGGCATGACCAGCCCCCTCTAGATCCCAGCAATCTAGGGATCTCCCTCACCCCTGTAGTCCAGGCTTCCAGGCCTCAGCTCCTAACCCAACTTGAGGGTCCAGTCTCTGTCTACTCCTTCAGCCTCCAACATCACCTCTCTTGTGAAAACTCTTTCCACCTTTGCCCGTTCTAATAGCCCTGCCATCTGCTTTTCTTTTCTTTCTCTAAAACACGGCTCCAGTCCAGGGTCCTGGCTTGGAACTTCGGGTCTTCTCTACAATTTCTCATTCTGGGTGAATTCATTCTCAAGGCTCCAACCACCGCCTCTATAATGATTTAAGATATGAGTATCCTGGGGAAAGGAGAACAATTTATGTAAAATAAACTGGTAGTTCTTTTTCCAAGCTTTTTAGTAATTTTTCCGGAAGAAAAGGAAAAGGATGGGAAGAATGAAACTATGCTTTTTTTTTGGCAAATGATGAATAACATGGTGAAGATATTTATATATTACTAACAGATTTTATTCCTAAAAGCAATGTAATAAACCTATTGAATAAGGAGAATTTTATTTTTAAAATATGCATTATATTTTTGTCCACTTAAGAGCCAATAACAGAACTTGCTAAATGTATTTTTACCTCTAGCACTGCTGGAATTTACACACACACCCACACACACACACACACACAAAATCAAAGTATTATCACACTAGAAGCAACCTGGGAAACAGCCGGGCTAATTGTACCACTCACAGACACATCTCCGTGTGCCTAACTCATTCACCTGCCACCACATCATGCATTCACAGCAGTTACCTGGATCTGGCTTGCATTCTAATTCACTCCCTACATGAATGACTTCCCAAAATGCAAATTTTCAGTTCAGGGTTTTGCCGTCACACCACACTACCCATGAAGGGATAAAAAAAAATCCATCCTTTTGGACATGTTTTTCTTTTCGTTCCTTCCTGGTCCATGGGTTGTTGAGGGATATTTTCTTATCCAGTATTATCTTCAAATGGCTTGGAATGAACAAGCATGCCACACAGGCCATCATGACTGGATCCCACCCACACACCTTCCACCCCACTCATCCAGAGCTCCTGAGTGTCCCCAGAAAACACCTCCACACCTTTGTATCTGTTGTTCCCTCCACCAGGTCAGCCTCTCGCTTCTTGCTGTCTAGAATTCCTATTCATCACCAACAGAAAGCTCAGTCTCCAGCTTGCTTTAAGAAATCAAAATAGACAGGATTTAAGAAAGTTTATCTGGGAATGAATGAGAATGTGACTCTACTAGTAAGTCTGTAAGGACTTACAAAATATGCACATTTCCATATTAAACAGGAAGAGGTTAGATGTCTCAACTCAACACACTATGGGGCATTTGCTACCTTCCTATAATTTCAGAACATTTGGAAATCATAATTAAAATCTCAGTAATCTGATATTTTCTGGCAAAATCTTCTCCTTGACTTTGGCAATGAGGTGAAGTTTGGGGTTGGGTCATGGTGAGTTGGGTCTATCCCTGAAAAGAAGCCGCAGCTGAAGATATACACATCCTGGCAGTGTATGCATGAGCAGGCCACTGAATTACGTCAGCACAATAGGACACCAGCTTCTACATGGGGAGACACTTCCCACCGCACATTACTCTATGGGAAAGTTGATTTATCAGTAATGTCAGGGAAAGTCTGCACAGCCAGATACTGCCCCTCCCTTCGCCTGCCACTGGGGTGACCCAGTAGTGCAGAAGTGAATTTCTTCTGTAGTATAACTAAGGCAGACTATGGTAATAGTGCTGACAGCCAGAAGTGAGCCATTTCTTCCTAAACACAGGCAGCTATTCCAAATCCCTTACGTACATTACCTCATTTAACACACACGAAGACCCAGTGAGGCAGATCCTCCCATTAGTCCCACCTTATGACAGACACACAGAAACATGGGGAGAGAGCACAGCAGCAAGTCTAGGCTCCAATGTTCAAGCCAACAGAGCTCACCCACCCTGTACCCTACGGCCTTGTGCAGCATGAAGGAGAGAGCATGCATTGTTCTTCACAGAATCCCACCTTCAGCTCTTTGGCTGCCATCCTGCCATCTCTACATCCTCCACGAACCTATAAGACAATGAGATCCTCGACGAACTGTGATATTTCAGTGCAGCCATTTTGACAGGGTGCTAGGAGTTGGTGGTTTTGACATAAGGGAAACGTATTAACACAACCTAAAACACAAACCTTCTCACTTCCTTCCTTATTATTCACAAATAAAATGCAGAGCTGGCAACATTCCCCCAGCCATGGCTCATTCTTGCGCCTTGCTTACATCCTCCTTCTCACTCAGGACACTCTGACCCCGAGCTTTGGCAAACTTGCCCATTTGGAGAGGCCCAGAAATAGCACGGAAATCACAGGCAGGGTGAGAATGAGGCTGAGAACCTCTTGTTTATATCACTGTCACAAAAAAGTATTTCTATATGTTCATACCAAAACAACCACAGCAGAATGAGCCATTTGCTGGTTTATTTGTGCTCCTAACACCCAATACAGAACCTAGAACTTAATGGATGCTCAATAAATGTTTACTAAATAAATAAATGTTTTATAATGCACTATTAGTAACTATATTGAAGCACTTCTCAGCTTCTTCAGATATTTTTGATCGGGGGAAAAAGGAAACTACACCAATATCTTATACTGTGCTTCTCATACTTTGATGTGCATCGGAATCACCCAGAGGGCTTATTGAAATGCAGACTGCTGAATCCCATGCCCAGAGTTTCGGATTCAGTGGGTCTGAAGTGAATCCTGAGAATTTGCATTTCTAACAAGTTTCCAGTTAATGCTGATGCTGCTGGTCTGCACACCACACTTGGATAACCCCTGACTTCGAAGAACAACGGTCTTCTGAAATTCCACTACCAGCAGCTGAAACCGTGCACTGGTAAAGACCCACTACCAGCAGCTGAAACCGTGCACTGGTAAAGACCCACTACCAGCAGCTGAAACCGTGCACTGGTAAAGACCCACTACCAGCAGCTGAAACCGTGCACTGGTAAAGACCCACTACCAGCAGCTGAAACCGTGCACTGGTAAAGACCCACTACCAGCAGCTGAAACCGTGCACTGGTAAAGACCCACTACCAGCAGGTGAAACCGTGCACTGGTAAAGACTGTTTAAAATCATACCCGCATCTTCCTCTAGGTCAGAGCGTAACCAGATAACAGAACTGTGGAAAAAAGGAACAGGGTTCCTTCTCTAACCCAGAGCTCTGTGCACAGTGGACCATCGCCAGTGTTGGTGGAAGAAATGCCTGAGGATAAGAAGCCATACACTTGGTGATGCTCTATCAACCAATTTTCCACAGAAACAATGAAATGCAAGAAGAGTCCCAGTGTGCTGTTTGTCAACTGTAAATCGTGTGAAGTTATTTAGAAGTTGAGGAATAGAAATGAATTCCCTTTATGATCTGACAGCATTAAGTAACATGAAAGCAGCCTGGGAATCAAACAGATGCCTAGCTTCAAGTTTCCTTCCTTTTCAATGCCAGTAGGAACTCAGACACCCTTCTAAGAGATCCTTCAAGTGCAGACAACATTTCAGATCATGTACAAAAAATCCTGTAGCAGGGCCTGACTTGGCCAGGCACTGTGGCTCATGCCTATAAATCTAGCACTTTGGGGGACTGAGGTAGGTGGATTGACTGAGCCCAGGTAGCAGGCGTGGTGGTGCGCCTGTAGTCTCAGCTAGTTGGGAGGCTGAGGTGGGAGGACAGATTGAGCCCAGGAGATTGAGGCTGCAGTGAGCCAATATCACACCACTGCACTCCATCCAACTTAGGCGATACAGTGAGACCCTGTCTCAATTTTTTTAAAAAAAGACTTAAGATAGTAACACTGTATCTCACTAGGAAGCCAGTGCAGCAAAGTGGCAGTGCCCCTTGAAAGTTTACTAAAATAACAAAATATCGCTCCAAAGGAAAACAGTGATATCTGAGGCTCTTAGAATTTGTAAAAGTGTTGGAACACGCTACTTGATAAGGATGCCTTCTGGGTTCAACTGCAGAATTCCCCAAAGACACCAAAACCAATTTCTGTGGCAATTACTGCACCTGAGTCAGACAGTTCACTTTTGTCAGACATTCCTTATTAAATGGCCCAAACAAAAAACATCAACTTTGGGGAAAATGAAAAGATTGCATTTCCACTTACAGTTTCAGGAGTGAGAAACATGAGACAACAGCCATTGGTCCTAGACCTGTTCCTTCTTCCAAATCCTTATGCAGTTTAATATCATTGAACTATGTGTTTGGCCCTCAGTTTCCTCATCTACTAAACGAAAAGATAAGTCTCACTGGATCTCTGAGATATTTTTCAGATTAAAAAAACTTCTATGTTCTACAAGGAAGTTAAGTGAATGAGAATTAAAGAGCAGGAAAGGAAAAACTTAGCTTTCAGCCAACTCCTATTGCTGGAATAATTTTGGGTCCAAGATTTGAAGGCAAAAATATAAGCGAGGATCATATTGCAACTGCAACTAACTGGTGATAAAACCAAGACCAGCTAGGACTTGATCTTGGGCTGCCACTTTTCCACCTGCCAAAAAAACAGGCTCTCTCAGGTGCTCAAGGAATAAATGCTTCTTGGATGCTTCCCCGCCTACCTCTCCGGCAACACCGGAGCAGGTTCTTTGCAGGAACACGGTCTCTGATTCCTCTTCTCACCAGCTCCGAGATTTTCTTTTTTATTTTTCCAAAAGCAAAAGTCATTGGTCGATCTATGTTTAGAAATATGCACAACAAATCAAGAAATAAATTCATATGTGAAAGGATAGAAATGTTAGTCTCCAAATCTAGGCAAACTTCCATTTTTATAAGCCTATGAAGACAATATAAATAAATCAGAGGGAGTGGAGCCTGCTGGCAGCAACTGCTAGATCGCTCTCATTTTCTACATAACGTTCCCTGTGCTGAAAGGTATATTCAGTGAGTGTTTCATTTCTCTTCTTTCTGGAACAGGGGTCTCTCTATGTCTGCCTGGAACTGTCCCTAAATTCAGAGAGAATAACTTGCTACTTTGTTTTACCTTTTTTATTACAGTGTTGATAGTTTCTTCACTCCTCTAGTCATCACCTACTTCTGAGAAACAGTGACAAGCGTGATAAACAAAGGCCTGGACTATGTAAGTGCAAATTCTACGAATAAATTCGTAATTATTGTGTCAATAAGCTATGCTATTTAATACATCAACAAGACCTGCTCCCTCCACCCCGGGAGGGAGTCCTTCTCTGGTCACTCACCTCCAGCCCTGCCCCCACCAAACCCTGCCCCCTGTCTGCCTCCTGCTACTGCTACGGTGGCCTGGAAGGCCCTTCCTGTCCATCTCTGCCAGTCCAAGTTTCCCCGCAGCGTCCTAGCTCAAACACTCTCCCCTCTGTGGAGCCTTTACCCAAGCCTCTGCTCCCCTAATTTAAACAAGCCACTGCTCTCTAAGCACACTGGGCCCTTTAGTTGCAGGGTCTCTGTGGCAGGCATCTCATTATGCTCATATCTCCAGAACTGTTTCCTGGCCTGTCTCCCCAGCTGGAGTGTGGACTCCCTCATGCGGGGATGATGCCACTCTGTTCATCTCTCAGCCTCACTGCATTGACTCTGCAGCATAGTAGTTGCTCCAAGATTAGGAGCTCTGTGCAAAAATCATCTTTGTACTCAGTTTTTCTCCTGCACTATGTTTATTCTGGAGTTGGCACTGTAATGAAGAACGAAGGAATGCATCTTGATTGACTGATCGCCAGCTCTACAGCGGCTCCAATGTGAATATAGCCTGGCCACGTATTATGTAGCCATTAAAAATAGTGGCATTGTGAAATAAAGGTCTATGATAGGCTACTAGATGACAAATTCAGATTATGAAACCGTATGCAGAATATGATCTCATTTGTGTGTGCTATACATGTCCATGTTGATGTGTACATGTCTGCGTATGTTATTAGCCTGTGCATATAAGGCAAAATGTCATGCATTCATCACTTGGGGTGGCATTAGGGATGATTCTTATTTTCTTCTTTTCACTTTTCTGGATTTTCCTCAAAATATTTTCAGTGATTGTATATTACTTTGAAACCAGAAACAAATGTTAGGTGTTCTGTCTGTTTTCTAAAGAGACATAGAGAGGCTAACCAGAGCTGTGACCACCATCAAAGGATGAACTACTGAACACATAATCCCAGAGATGCATGGGAAGCCAATGAGGAAGCCCTGAGGATATGTAAGGAGAAGCCATGGACAGTTTTGCTTAAACACCAGGAATTTAAATTTACATCATGAATTGTTCCTAAATGGCCCATCACCTTTTCTTATGAACTTTCTCCTGGACCGTAAGAGTTGCAGCTATTTGGATCACTTTGCTGAAAACAAGATGAAGGAATGGGCTAAGCTGTGTCAGAACTAAGCAGAATGCTATGGCAGGCTCTTCTCCAGCTGGGCACAGCAGGGCACACCCCCTCCCAGGGGCCTCTCATTCAATGCCTCTCACCATTTACATTCCAACACTGTAAGATGATGGATACTTTTAATACAAGAGACCTGTCATTTATTTATTAGCTGGGGACAGGCTTTGCAGCCGGGAAGGATGCATTATAAATCAACTCCTTTCTCAGCCATTAAAAATTAATACAGTTCATAATGTAGAACGTCAGTAATTTCTTTATTAGAGGAGAGTGTCATTTTTTTTTCTTTTCTTCCAGGTTTTGTTTTTACTTCCTCCCTTCTCTGGGGATATTTTTTTTTCTTTCATAAAGACTGGCTGAGTATAAATTATCCCAGGGAAGGGGAATATACCCTTTCAGACAGAGGTTAAAATGGAAGAGACGAAGCTTAAAAAAAAAAAAAAAAAAAAAAAAGCCCCTGACCAAATTCCCCATGGAAATATGGTCTAACTGCATCTTTCAAATTTGCCTCATTAAGCCTCACTTACAACATCCCTTGTTTCTTTCTGATCTACCTTGCACCAAAAATGGGAGGCATTTTAGGTTTCTGATAGACCAGAGGGAAAGAAATATAAGGTGAGTGATTTGGGGTGTGCTGGGAGGTCTCTGATTATTATTTTCTAATGATTGCTCCCTCACAGAGGGGCCTTCATTAGCTTTTCTATTGTCTCCAAGTTAACTTGGCATTCACCAAAAGAAGCATGGATGTTAGAAGCTCAGCCCAAGACCAGGAACCCTTCATACAGCTCCCCCTTTAGACCTAGGATACAAGGATGCAGAAGGAAAAGACGGCACCAGAATATGCCAAAAGGCTGATTAGCTAAGCATCCATGAAGGCTTCCCCTTTGGTTCTTCCCCAGAGTGGCAGCTCCAGGAAAAGTGAAAGCTTGGAGTTAGAAAGAAGACAACTTCTGCTCTTAACTTCAGAGGAAATAAAAGGGAGAATCCAGAACCTGTGATGTCTCCATCTCACCTTAGCAATATTGAGGGGTTTGCAGTGGTTGGTTCAACCAAGCTGACCTTCTCAAGACCTGAACAAAGGAATATATGTGAAGGGAGGGGGGACCATCCCACCCCTAGCCACCCCACCCAGCACATTTTCCTGACTTTGGGGAATAGGGGGAGAGGGGTCACCCAGAGATGAACATCACATCCCAGGCACAGGCTCCCTGTGTTGATGTCTCTGTCAAACCAGCCATGATTTAGTTAAAGCTCCTAAGTAACAAATCCCCACAAATCCCCAAGCACATATTTAAAATCTATTTTCAGAATTACACTGAGCATAATTCAACCAATCAATGAGCCATTAGGAGTTTAATCCCAACACTTCTTCATTACCAGTGGCATGAGGGCTGCTCGACTCAGCAGAATCCAATGCGAAGAGTTGCTATATCACCAGCAATTCTAGGTCTGGGGACAGAAGCTTATACATTGCCTGCTGAGAGGCCCAGCCACAATCTGGGTGACAAATCAAGCTACAGATCCACCAGCGACAGGATAAAAGGAGACTCGGCCAAAAATAGGTCAACTTGGATCCAAGGACTTCTGCTCTTCTCCTTCAAGGGTAGCTCTTGCATCACCACCAATGCCCATCTCTAGCTGGACCCTGCTTCTGGGAGGCCTGCCTCATGGGGATCTGAAGCTCCAAAGAGCCTCCTGGGGTGGACACACGGAGGGGGATGACTACATAGGAGCTAAAGTGCTAGAGAGGAATTGCCTTCTGCTGCCTCACTGGTGAGCACCATGGGTCACCCAAACTGGTATCTGTCTGAAAGTCTCCAAGATCTCCCAAAAGGTGGGGGTGTGGGTGAATTGGAAGTCAGCTGACGGTGGGAGGGGGTATCCCAGGTTAGTAGAAGTGGCATGCTCCTAAACTCTAGAGTTTGAATCCTGGCTCTACCTTTGACCAGTAAATGACCTTGGGCAAGTCCCTTAACTTCCTTGCTTCCCTAGGAAATGCCTAATCTGTAAAGTGGGGAACACTACACTTACATTAAAGCTTGATTTAATGTAGAAAGAATGACTTCATGAAAAGAAGAGGGGGTGGTGGGCTCTGTCATATCACAGTTTTGTCATTTTCTAGCTGCAAGACTTTAGCAAACATTTTAACCATTCCCTGTGCCTCAGTTTCCTCACCTACAAAATGGGGAAAGTAATAGAAGCTACCTCATAGGATTTTTATGAGGATTAAACAATTTATTATTATATTTAAACTGATTTTGGTGCCTAAGATATAAAAAGCACTACGCAGTGTATGATTTTATTATTATTTGAATGTACTTCAAGTTCAGAGCCTGGCCCTTGGTAAGTATTCAGTAAATGTTAATGCATTTCTTTATTTTTTTACTACTCCCCCTTTTCCCCTCTCTTCACCACCTACCTGCTCCCACCTACTCTCCAAAAGCTATGCTCCCAAAGGATCACATAGCAGCTCTGAGGAATTCACACAGCTTGCTCAACCAAGATAGTTGGATCCAGCTAAAACCACAAGCAGAAATGTTTCATCACCCAGGCATACAAGTCTAGCCTTGAACATTAGCAGGACAGTTTACCAGACCAGAACAGTGATGATGACAACAACAAATTACTAGGTTGCTCTCCCTAAGAGGAGAGATACAAGGAGTAAAATGTACACGGTATCAATGTTCTCATCTTCATTCTACCCCCTGTACCCCAAGAGGCACCTGCTTACTCCTAGAGGAGCAGGATGACAGTATTTGCAAGGCTGAAAGCCTAGGTGAGCATTTGCTTTACTCCTGGAGGAGACCTGGGTGGCAGGTACTGTCATTTCTAACAGCCACTTCCTGTTTCTTGCTAACAGAGCCCTGTGATTCTATGGAGACATATGCCCTCCAGGCAACCATATGCCTCAGGGAAAATGAGTTCCATTCCCAGCCCCAGGGGAGAATCTGGAGGAGCTTAAAGTGCTTGGGGGTAATTCCATTCCCCTTAAGAATGACTGGCTTGGGAATAAACATATGACATAATTCTGGCCAATGAAACAGGAAAGACTACTTAGGGGCTTTGGGAAAAGCTTTCTCAGTTTCAACCCACCCACAAGAAAAGACAACCCTGTGGGGCCCCTAGTCCATGTGTTTGGTTGTGATGCCTGGATCTGCTGCAACCATTTTGTAGCCATGAGAGAAGTTAACCTGGTGATATAGCAAAATACAGAAAGGCAGAGGCAGGAGAATCACAAAAAGTAGAGCTAGAGTCCTAATACACTTCATCAGGATCCTTCCCTAGCTGTTTAGCTGAGTTATGTGATGATCAACGTCTTAAGCCAAGTGAGTCAGGATTATCTTGTACTTTCAGTCAAAAGGATCTCAACTGATACAATCAGTGTCTAAAACATGAGAATATGAACAAGACTCAGACATATGTACATTTGTGTCTGAAGATCCTATGTGTAAGTTTGCTAAGAAAAAACAAAAGGGCTGTGCACTCATGTCTAAGGACAAGCAAAAACGAAGTCAAATAAGCAGACAGACATTGAAGCCCTAACTTCGGAGGGGACCGTGCAGGCACAAACATATGAGAACTCAGCGTAAAGCACATGGGCAGGCATACAGGGGAGAAGGGGAATTTGTTTCAACAAAATTAAGTTTGATGACAAAGGGAAGGGTGAAACAAAGAATCAATCAAACAAAAACACAAACAAAAGAATCTCGCCATGAATCTCTCTGCCACCTTCTAGTTGAGCCCACAGAGTTTCGGTCTCATTAACCCAAAAGGAAATTGGCCTGAGCCCTCTGCTCATCTACATCCATCATTTCCTGACAACCAACATATTACAGTTCCGACTCCTAAGAGCATCTTCATAGCTGTGGAGCCGGGTGATAAAATGCTGCTTCTTAGAGTTGGGGGAAAGAAGTCGCTGGAGGGGATTCTTTTTTCAGAAATAAATCCAAGCTTGGAAAATATATTTTTCAGTACCATCAAGCTGGTTTCCCCCAACAGCATATTTATATCAGAAATTGTAATGATAGTTGTAAAAATATTGCTGTCAAGGCAAGGATGATCACATATTGTCACTTATACAAGTTTACAGAGTATTTTCAAATTCTCCTACCGCTTCATCTCAAAAGATACCTGCCAAGGTGGTCACCTTTTCTTATCTCAAATTTAGAGAAGGCAGGTGTCTTGCCCACAGTCATGCAGTGGCTGAGTGGTAGGCTGGGACCTGGGTCTAAGGCCACCCACTCTCATGTCACTTTTGTTTCTAATGAAAAAGGATCCTCTGTAACCCCCTAGTTCAGCTCATTCTCTCAGCCGCTAGACCCTGCCTACTCCATGCCAAGACCATTATATTCTCTTCTTTAAATAAGATGTTTTGACCTTCCCAACAATTGTTTGGAAACAGTGACTTTGAGAAAGCTGCCTGCATCTTGATTTAAGCATTTCTCCTTGGAGCAGCTCCCTAAGATTCCATTCCTAAGAGGCAGCAGATCTGCCTGGAAACGAGGAATGCAGTGAAAATTTGGCCATGACCAGCATCTCCGGATCTGGGGTTTAGGAAGTGTTAGAAGCACCTGCAACAGCTTCTAGGAAGAGAACAACAGGCAAAGATCCCCTGATCCATTTAAGTGGAGGGCACTTAGTGCTCTGCCAGAAATCCTGAAGAATGTTACCACCCCAATTCGGGCTATTCCCACGGAATGCAGCTACGTCCTGTCCCTCCGAGGGGCTTGAGAGGAAATGTGACAGTGCCTGTGCCAAATGGGTTCAGGCCCATCTGGGCACTGTCACAGTGAGTGACCACACCTGCTGGGGAGGCAACAATGGAGCCCCCAAACCCCAGAACAGCCCTGAATGGGATCCATTGAAACATCTGTGTCTACAGAGATGCTAACAGGTATACCTCAAAATCAGGTTCAGTAGCTCAAGAAATTTGAGAAGTGCTGCAGACCAAAGGTCCTTCTTGGTAAGTCTCAGGGATCTCTAGAATTAAAGGCTCTCAGAATCCTACAGTACGAAAGTTACTTAATCCAGGTTTTCCCAAAATTATTTTACCATGAAACTTTTTTTTTTTAAGCAATGCCTATTCGTATCCTTCAGAGAACAATTTGCAAAACAATGAATTAAAGGCAGCTGGAGAGAAGATGGAAGAGCAGTTGTACTCTTGGCTTCTTGGCTAAGATGTAGGTAGAGCTTTGGTTTTTAGTTATTGACCATCAACAATATAGTGCAAGGGGAATGAGAACCGACAAATTCTTTGGGACATCTGTCATAAGGTATGACTCACGTGTTCACTCACAGCAAGATGGAGATGATGACTGCTTTCTCCTGGAAAAGGGCTTTTGGAAAGAGAACACTAATAGAGACCACCATCAACTACCGAGATTCCTGCTTGTAGGTGGGAGAAGGAGATCTTTTTCCCTTTCCCTGATTTTTAACTTCTGCCCTTAAAATAAGAATGTCTGACTCCTTGGAGACATGGGAAGTAACCCTAAGCCCTTCCCTTACCCTGCATTCCTGGCTTCTCCCTGTGAAAAGCAAGTGACTTATTTGATGGGTGATGAGGGCGGAGTCCATCATCCACCATCACATTTCTCTTCTGGGCAAAGTTCATGAAGGAAAGGGAGTCTCTCCCTGTGCATATGAGCTTCCTGGGGTGTTCTTAAGCTCTCTGGCTTCCAAAAGGTAAGGTAAACCATGACCTTCCATGCAACTGAATGAATAATATCTGCTCAGCAAACCCAAGTTCTATCTGTACATCCAAGTTCAAGACAGGAGAAGCACCAAAAAACCCATTTTGGCTTTACGCCCAAGCTGCCTTCTTGGGCGCAACAATAATGCTCATCTTTTGATTCCTATCTGACCCCTATGTATATGTTTTACCTGGTTCAGAATTATGACCCTTTAAAACTCCAATACAGACTGGATGCCTGAATCCAGTTGACGAAGAAAAAACATAAATTACTTATCTCTGGGAAATCTTGAGCTAGAAAGGATCTCTGGAGAAAAGTTAATCCTCTTACTCCTTGAAGACAAGACTGAAGCCAAAACATGCCAGGAAGACAAGTAGTCCTTCTGTTTCTAGGCCACTGAGCGAAACAGAAAGGACCCACTCCATATTCTGCCCACCTTCAGCTTTTGGGTGCAGCTTCCCCTGGGCTCCCATCCCACCGGGAAATGACATTACTCCAAGCTGGCTGGGGGTCTCATCATTCTTCCCCTCCTCGACCATGAAGTGAATGCTTATCCCTCAAGTACTTTTTTAAAGCCAATTACCTTGTATTTACAGTGAGCATAATTAGACCTAATTACTTAATTAGCATGACTGCATGCAGCTACTAACTTTGAGTATGTGATTATGGCAGTGAGGCACAGAGCAGATGAGGTCATGATAACCACAAGGATGGCAGGTGGTCTCGGCCCAGGGAGATGAATGCTAATCTGTCACTTTGAACTAGTTGGTTTTAGCTCCAAAGTGCATGCTAGGAAAGTCTAGTGTTTTCAATTAATTTCAGGGAAATGGCTTCATATGATTTTTTTCTTCCAGGAATGGGGGAAAAATGTCAAAGTGCTATGCTTGGATTGTACCAACATTTAGGGAACTCAGACATCAGCACCCAGCAGAGATTAATATCTTGAGGCTGAGACTCTGTGGACAAGCTTGTATGTATACTAAAGTTCAAGCCCATGGGCCCAGGACTTATTTGCTTGGCTCCCAAGATATCTCATTCTGGCAACATCCAGCTCTTTCTACAAAGAAAGAATACTAGTAATGTCTTCAGACTCATCCCTCCCTCCAGAGACCTTGGGCTTACCAAACCTAGCATCACAGAATTCCTGGGGGTCTCCTAGTTATTCTAACTGAATCTGAAGATAAGATTGAAGAAAAATCAGAGGGAGACAATACTAATTTATGTCCATTTAAAATGTTTTATGAAACACTGCCTACCAAGCAGGGCCTGGAGATACTGAACTGGTGAAAAAGGTTAAAGCTAAATGTTTCCATTATTAACCAAGAGTCACCAAGATTCATCTTATGGTTCCCCTAGAGTGGACTGTCAAGATCCAACCAGGAGAATAAAAGAGGGGACCCATCAGAATCCCCCACCCACCTTGGTCCTATTTCTCTCCCATGTCACATCTAGCAGAGCCTGCCTCCTAAAACAACCGCAGGAAGCTAACAGCAGCCCCTGGTATGCCAACCTACCCTCTTCAGCCGCACACCCCATGCTCCCAGCCCAGCCCTGTAACCAGATCTCCTTCTTTGCATCAGGCAAGTCCATCCCGGACTTCTTCTAGAGAAAGAACTAGAAAGACTTTTTCTGCAGGAGTAGCAGCTGCTGCTGTTGCCTCTGTTACTGGTTCCAGGAAGGGCCCCAGCCTCCTAGACAAAGGAGCCCATTTTCCGTATTTCATCTGCAAGTCCATTATGCTGAGTTAAGTGGCTGGGAATAAACACCCATCATTACCCTACGCTAAGCGATGTTTGTTAGCATAGAAGGTGACAGAAATCTATATCACGCTGATGCACTGTTAATACTGCATTATGCACACAGGCTCTGTGCTCCCCACCACAGCTGGAAACTGGCCTGGGCAATTCCTCTTCCAGAAAAAGCAAGCTTCATGGTTAATTGACCCAGAAGAAAAGGAGGAGATAAGCCGCTTGCACACTCTGATGTCCCAGCTAAAGAGACAGTGCACAGATCTAGCAGTTCCAGCTTTGGTTATCTGTGCAGATGTTCTTTGCCTTGTGGGCTGATATGTTAGAGGGGAATGCATCAAGCAGTTTTCCTAGGGAAAGAGAGTGAGGCCAGGAACTCCACACTACTGCTCTGTAGCTAAAGAGGGGTAAGAAAGGGTAGGTTGTCTGCTCTATCCCCAGGGCCTAACAGAGAGTGCCTGGTACTTAAGAAGGGATCAGTGGATGTTTGTTGACTGACTGAAGGAGTAAAAGAGAAAAGGAAGTTGAAGAGAACCAACAGAGATGGAGTTTTGGCAATGTCATGAGAGTGAGGGGCCAAGACGACGCCAAGACAGAGCTACCAGGTCAGCCAGGGAGGATGTAGGACAGATCTAGGAAAGAAATGGGAAGGGGTGACCAGCCAGGAGCAGCTGAATGCACATCTATAGTTTAAAATCTAGAAACTCATGTGGAAAAATGGATTCAGCATGGAAACCAGCTTGAAAGTGACATGTAGGGAAAGAGAAAGTGTCAACAAGACTTCTGGGAAAGTGAAAAGAATTAGGATGCCTGGAAAGGTGGGGTTCAGGGCTGACATCATGGAGAATCACCCTGACAAGCTGCCTTTGAAATGCTGTGAAGGCATGGACACATTGGTTGGTACCAAGAGGTGCCAGTCTTTTAGTAAACATGGCAATTGGTCTTTGACCGATGACAGCTTAGAAGTGAAGTATGCTCACTATTAGTCAATGTGAATATCCAATAAGAATTACACAGTCATCAGTTACCGGTATACTTTAGAGCAGAAGAGAGAAAGGTTGGTACAATCACACGTGTGTGGCCACACACACACACACACAACACATACACTTCACCAGGCACACCAAGAAGGACAGTGTGCATCCACAAGTGCCAGGAGACCCTCGGGCAGGAGCTGATTGGTGAAAGCCAGTCTAATGTGAAATGCAATGAACCTCACTTGGTATAACCATTCACTTTTGCTATTTCTTATGAAGCTAAACATATTCTTACCACATGACCAGGCAATCACGTGTCTAGATATTTATGCAAATGAGTTAAAAACTTATTTCCACACAAAACCTGCACATGAATGTTTATGCAGCTTTATTTATAATTGCCCAAAAGAGGAAGCAATGAAGTTGTCTGTTACAGGTTATGTCCCCCTCAAAAAAGCTAGGTCAAAGCCCTAACTCCCAGTGCCTTACAATGTAAACTTTATTTAGAAATGGAGTCACCGTGGATGTGATTACTTAAGTGAGGATAAGGATGGGCCCCTAAAACTATATGTCTGGTGTTCTTACAAAAAGGCAGTCTTATGAAGACAGAGGGTTGGAGTGATGCAGCTGCAAGCCAAGGGATGCCAAAGATTCCCAGCAACACCACCAGAAACTAGGAAGAGGAAAGGAAGGATTGATTCCCTTATAGGTTTCAGAGGGAGGATGGCCCTGTCAACACCTTGATTTCAGACTTTGGGCCTCCAGAGCTGTGAGATAAAAAATTTCTGTTGTTTGGGGCCACCCAACTTATGGTACTGTATTCCGGCATCCCTAAGAAACTAACACAATGCTTTTCACTAAGTGAGGAAATAAAAACTGTAATACAGCCATACAATGAAGTACTGCTCAGTGATAAAAATAAATGAGAATCGCTTGAACCCGAGAGGTGGAGGCTGCAGTGAGCTGGGATTGAGCCATCGCACTCCAGCATGGGGACAAGAAAGACTTTGTCTCAAAAAGAAATAAAATAAAATAACTGAGCTATCAGGCCAGGCACGGTGGCTCACGCCTGTAATCCCAGCACTTTGGAAGGCCGGGACGGGTAGATCACTAGGTCCAGAGATTGAGACCATCCTTGCTAACACGGTGAAACCCCTTCTCTACTAAAAATACAAAAAATTAGCCAGGCGTGGTGGCGGGTGCCTGTAGTCCCAGCTACTCAGGAGGCTGAGGCAGGAGAACGGTGTGAACCCAGGAGGTGGAGCTTGCAGTGAGCCAAGAATGCGCCACTGCACTCCAGCCTGGGCGACAGAGTGAAACTCCGTTTCAAAATAAATAAATAAGTAAATAAAATAAAAAATAAAAAAATAAATGAGCGATCAAGCCAGGAAAAGACATGGAGGACCTTAAACATATATTGCTAAGTGAAAGAAGCCAATCTGAAAAGGCTACACACTATGATTCCAACAATATGACATGTGGAAAAGACAACACTATAGAGACAGTAGAAAGATCAGTGGTCGCCAGGGATTGAAGGGTGTGAGGGGATAAACAGATGGAGGACAGCGGACATTTTGGACAGTGAAATTATTCTGTCTGACATTGTCATGGTGGATACATGACACTATGCTTTTGTCAAAACCCACAGAACTTGTCCAACACAAGCAGTGAACCCTTCTTAAATTGCGGCTTTAATTAATAAAAATGTATCAATAGTGGTTCACCAATTGCAACTAATATACCATAATTATGCAAAATGTTAATAATAGAGAAAACTGTAGTGACAGGTGGGGACTTAAAGGAAATATGTGGGTGCTCTCTGTACTTTCTGAAATTGTTGTGTAAATCTAAACCTATTCTAAAACTGTTCTTTAAAATAAATAAAAATTAACCCCAGGGCCAGGTATCACCTTATCTGAAGGCAGTCATGGCCCCTCAAGAACTTGATTCTATGGAGAATTCAGAGAGGGGTAATAAGTGCCAACAGCCAGACCCAGGTTGGCCCAGCCTCATGACTTCAGAGGCCTTCAGCCAACCCTGAACACCCTATACAGGGCTGTCCTTATCCTAGAAACAGAAGAATGAGCCTCTACAAAACAAAAGAACTGTCCTTAATAGGTTGCTTCCCTTACCTCCAGCCTTGCTGAGTATATGTCAATCACTAGAAGTCTAGGCAACGAGATTTGATAGGGGAGGGATGGATGCTGGAGGTAGCGGGTCTGAGTTTAAATCTCAGGCTCTCTCTTGTATGATCTGGAACAAGTAGCTTAAGCTCTCTGAGTCTCAGTTTCTTTAGCTATAAAATGGGAGTAGTAGCTCCCCCTCAGAGAGCTAGTTAAAGATCGCATAAGAAAAAAAACATAAAACACCAGCCCAGTGCTTGCTCTAAAGAGGCTGTTGATACAAATCAATAGTATTTTCCTTTTCCTCTCTGTGAGTTTCTTTTTCTTTTTCTTTTGAGACAGAGTCTCGCTCTGTCGCCCAGGCTGCAGTGCAGTGGCGCAACCTCGGCTCACTGCAAGCTCCGCCTCTCGGGTTCATGACATTCTCCTGCCTCAGCCTCCCGAGTAGCTGGGACTACAGGCACCTGCCACCATGCCCGGCTAATTTTTTGTATTTTTAGTAGAGACGGGGTTTCACCGTGTTAGCCAGGATGGTCTCGATCTCTGGACCTCGTGATCCCCCCGCCTCGGCCTCCCAAAGTGCTGGGATTACAGGCGTGAGCCACCGTGCCTGGCCCCTCTCTGAGTTTCTAGAGAGCCTGGGCGTGGAGTCATCTGACACATCTTAGTTAGCACCTTCTTTGACCCTAGTTCCATGCTGTGGTTTCTGTTGAAAATAAAGAATTATGACACTAGGAATAAACTCAAAGTCGGGTTTGGGAAACAGGACATGTATATTTGAGAAACGGCAGGCTGACCTATGATTTGGCTCAAAGTCATTCAAGACTGGGGCATGGCACTGACTAAGCTATGGGTTAGAAGGAAGGAAGGAAAGGTCCCATTGCGATAGCATGGGGCTAGGAAGAATTCACAAGAAGCGAGAAATGAAAGAGGTGTTAAAAGACGAACAGGGTGTGGAAGGAAAGGAGAGGGAGTGAGGGTGAGGAGGGAAAATGGGCATTTCAAGGTAGTGGCTGGAGGTGTGGGAATGATGATCTGGAAAGAAGGAATAAAGGCTGGTGAGTCATCAGCAGAAAGCTGAAGAAGAGAGCAAGACAGGAAGGGAGGGAGGGAGGGCACAAGGTGCTCTCAGTGGTCCTGCAGCAGGGGGCGCCATCCCATGTCTTGGTGTTCAGCTATGGTTGGACGTGAGCCCATGAGGGTGGAGACCATGTGTCTCTTGTTCCCCAGTGTTTCCAGTGCCTAAAAGAAAGGCTGACACAAACCCTCAATAAACATGGATTAAATAGACAAAAGGGGAAAAATCAGCACAGTGGAAAGTGACTCGGATGCTAAGGAGGAAAGGAAGCTCAAAGGAACATGGTCAGGTTTTGCAAAGTGATCTTGGATGGAGAGTGGAGGGGCTCCTGGGGAAAAGAAACAGATGGACCTTCAGGACAGAGACCTACAAGAGGTGTGGCGATGGGCAGAGGAGCAGACAGACACTACCTCAAGGGGGAGAAGAGAGGAAAGGGCGGGCCAACCAGGATGGAGACAGGCCATCTTTGCAGACCCAGACTGGGAAGGCTGGGAGGGGATGACTCTGGGAAGATGGAGACGCTGCTTCCTCTGAGACAGGGACAACATGGGAGCAAAGGCTGACAAGGACACCCAAGGACAGAAGGACGGGGCAGAGGCAGTTGCCTCTCCCCAGATGGTCTCTGTTTTCTCAACCAAGAGTATGGGTGTGGGGAGAAAAGGATGAACAGAGAACCCTGTTCATCCTTAAGATTAACCAAGAAGCCTTTCAACTGGCTTATGGGAAAAGGCCAATGTGTGACTCCTGAGAAAGCAGCAAGCAGTCCAGCCCTCATCCATGAACAACTTACTGCAGTCCAGAGCTGCCACATGGGTGACAAAGGTAACTGAGGGTCCAATGTTGCTACAAATAACTTTTAGCTTCTCCCAAGTGACCCATCTGGACTGGTCCCTTGACTTCTCATTCTATCGGACCTGGCCCAAAGTCTAGGGTCCTCAGCTGTGTGACCAGGAGGGCTGTATCCATTTCCTGATGCTCTCAAGAACCAGAGGGCTATACAAAAATAATGAGGGGGGCTTTATTAGGCTTTGGGTTCTGTATACATTGCAAACTAGGAGCATCTTTATTCCGCTCTTTCGGAATCCCTGGAAAGGCTAAATAAATGCAGAATAAAGACAATGTCAAATGCAGAGCCCTTGCTGGGAACATAGGTGTGGGGATGCAAGCATCTGATAAGGGATTGTACCAGGTGATCTCTAAATATCCTTGCAGCCTGACATGCTAGGAAAAATGCTATGGACCAGATTGAAAGCAGATAGAAAGTGAGAAGCAAGGAGAGGACCAGCATCCTAATCATTTCCATCAGAAAGATCCCACTGTTTATAATAAATACATAAGTACAGAAAGAAAAGCACATTTGTGCTTAATCCATCACTGGGGGGATGGGGAAATAAGGGGTGAAGTCAGGTAGCATTATGTTCATGCAATTCCACCCCACATTACACATTTTTAAATGGGACAAAGAAGGGAATCAGAATGAGGAGACCCCCTGGGGGATTCACAATGTGAGCATTTTTATTCTCTTAACCTTCCTGGTTCTTGCCATCCCCCTAAAGGAGTGACCCTGGCCTTATCTGCCACACCATAAATACTCTCCACTTATTTATATGCCAAGATGCATGTGGCTTTAATTATTTATGATAGTGGCTCATCGCACACAGGGATGTGTCTTGGAGTCTGTTCCCTCGACTGATGAAGGCTTGGTTAATCAGAGACCTGCTGCTGGCTCAGCCAGTAAATCTCTGCTGAGGACTGGCCTGGGTCCCCTTTCACCCTGTCTGTGTGAGTCACCAAAGGATTAGCAGAGGGAGGATTAGACAAATGCAGCTACAATGCTCCTGCTCATTGTCTGTCATGCCACTCATGTTTTCTGAAAACAATTAGGAGCCATTTGCTGTCTACTGATGGAACAGAAAGTCCCACTTCTTTAAAAGGGCTACTTTCCCCAGCATCAGAGGGTTCTGATGATCTGGAGTCATCTCATGATTTTCCTCTGATAAGGCATTGTTTGTTTTCCCCTGCTCCTTCAAGTCTCATCAGTAAACCTGCTGCCTTCCCATTTTCACCAACCTTTTCTTGTTTACACTGAAGAACCGTCTGGATCCTGAGAATAGCCACTTTGAATCACAAATCTAGAGGGCTCTAGAAGGAAGACTTCCTCCACATGGTTTGCCTAGTGGGATGAGTCCTTGGCTATGCTTTGTTTTGACACCAAAGGATGTTCACCAGGCCCCATAGCTCTCTCCATGGCTCCCAGGCTTCCATGGGGACACTTATTCTGAAGGCCCAGAGGAAACTTGCCTCCAACACACCAGAGAGTCATCCCATCTGGCAACTGTGCGGATAACCTGGTATCAGGAGCTTCTGTGAGCAGATATGATCACGAGATCATATTCTGCACCAGGAATCCAGAGCTTCCACTAAAGAGGACAGAGGGATCCTCATTATTCACAGATTCTGTATTTGGGAATTCACTTACTTTCTAAAATTTATGTGCAGTGCCAAAACCAAGACTCAAGGCACTTTCCTGGTCATTTAGGGCCATGTGTAGAGTGACAAAATGTGACCTTAGAGGCACGTTTCCAGCTGAGACTCAACAAGGAGATATCTGCCTTCTTCCTTTTTAAAAAAAAATCATTTATTTTAATTGGAAAAAAAAAACCTGTCATCTGTCATATTTATCATGTACATTGTTCTAAAATTCTTGTTTCAACTCTCATACTATAAACAACTACCTTTTTTGTGGTCTATTCCAGACCACATTTTTTTACACTTTTGTGCTTGTTGCTAGTGACTATGCAGTTTGGTAGGGCCCCCAAGCATCGTTCTGAAGTATTGGCTAGTGTTCCTTAGCTTAGGACAGCTGTGATGTGCCTCACAGAAAAAACACATGTGTTAGATAAGCTTTGCTCAGGAAGAGTGACAGTGGCCATGGCCATGAGTTCAATGTTAATGAATCAACAACATGTATTAAATAAGGTGTCTTTAAACAGAAACATATGACAAGGTTATGTATTGACTGGTTGATAAAATGTGACCCGAGGCTCACAGGAACCTAACCTCGTGTCTTCCCTAGGAGCAATGGTTCAGTGTTCACTAATTCAGTGTTCACGGCGACTTCACAGAACACAACTGATACAGATAATGAGAACCAACTGTATATTGAACATAGCAATGTCTAGGTCTCTGCTCAAATATCAACAGCACCCTAGGAAACTCAGTATCAACCCTAGACTGAGCTTGGACCCAGCTATCACCATAGAAGGTCCTTCCTCCCAGTCCTACCCAGGCCAGTCCTGGGGTGAGCCTGATCTGAGACAGGAAATTTAGCCAGAAGTGAACTAATCTTTGTTCTGTGCTTCCCATGGTTTATCTGAAAAACAGGTATCTCTCTTCCTTGCCCAGCCGTGGTTCAGAACCCAGATGTCCTTTTTCTGATACTGACAGGGAGCATCTGATACACACTGAGACAGATTCTGGAGAACACCCAAGGTTAGGAGGCAAACGATGACCTTATGCTGACTCAAGCCCACTCCCTCCCACTGTGGCAATGCTCTCCTAAAACTCAGAGCCAGGGAAATGAAGCAAAGGCTGATGGGGGTAGCCCAGTGCCCACTCTGCTGTAGGATGAACCAGCAGGAGCAGCAAGAGTTCTGTGAGCTACAAAGACTGTACTCCAAGTACAGAGAGCTCTGCCCAGGGGCTGAGCAAGACCAAAAAGCGCCTCTTCCTAGGCCCACCCTGCAACCCACTGAGACATGAAAAGAACCCACTGTCAGGAAGCCTGGGGCAGCCACCCAGAGCCTCGGTATTCCTGTCTGTAAGGTGAGGCCTCAACCTAGCCGATCACTTCTGTCCTTCCAGCTCTCAGGCAGGCATGGGTGTCCCTGTTCTCCAGGAGCTGCTGTGCTCTCTCTTGATGCAGTGGATCATTTCCTGGGGACAGGAAGAGTAGGAGGAGCGGGGGTCTGCTTGGGTGTTGCTGGGCCCAGATTGAACCTGGGCACACAGCAGGAGGAACCCTGCTGGATGGACAGACAAGTCATTGAGGCTCCAGGAGCTCAGAGGGGGCCTAGCAGGGCTCAGCAGAAGGACAAGGAGAGGGGTTGGAACCAACAGGAGAGGGGAGATGAGAGGGAAACAGGTGCCCTGAGCCCTCTGGTCTGAGTGAGACATCTGCAGTGGGGAGGTGAGAGTTCCTAGCGCTGGGGCTGTGATCTGATTCTCAGAAAGTGCACACTTCGGGGCACTGGAGGGGCAGCTAGAGAGATGTTTCCATTCAAAGGTACTCACTGCCCTTTATTCCCTTCCCCCTCATGGAGGCTTGGGTGGAGGTTCTGGTGAGCTCAGGGGCTGCTGTCTAAACAGAGTCAGGTTATGTTTCCTAGTTACATAGGCCAGGTCTAGAGAGAAGAACAGCCTCTCTGTGTCTCCTGCCTTATTGGGAGCACCCAGGGTCCTGCTGAGCCCAGGTGAAGAAAAAAGGGAAGCAGATTCAGACCCACAGGACCCCCTTCGCAGAGGACTCTGGTCCCGGGGACTCCTGGCTCAGGCTATTCTTCAAGTTTTGAAACAAACAGGGAGGGTCTCTTAGAAAGTGGGAGGTTGGCAGGTAGCAGGTCACCCTAGAAGGTTCCAGAACCCCAGGTACATGGTCTATCACCAACCACCCTCCCCTCCCCAGGAGGGAGAGCATTCCATCCCAGTACTTACACGTGTCCGGCTTGTGGCAGTTGTGTCCCTGACGGAAGTACTGGGGGTTCTCAATGACAGGGATGCGAGTCATGCCAATGACCACAGTGTCGGGCCCGGCATCCAGTGACGAGGGCGTGGTGATGCCGTGGTTGATGTGGTGCAGTGGGCTGGCTGAGTCCTCCTCACCACTGATGACAGCCACGGGACCTGCACACACCAAGAGAGACGCAGGACCTGGTGACGTCACATCCGGCCAGTTTCCAGCCCTGTCCACAGACAACCCCCAACTACTGTTCCCATCACAAACATTTTCTTTTTTTTACTTTTGGGGGGTGTGTTATATATATATATATATATATATATATATATATATATATAAATTCAGTTGTTTGGGTTTCTGGTGTATTTTAGATATTAACCCCTTATCAGATATACATGGCTTACAATTTTTTTTCCATTCTATAGGTTGCCTTTTTTTTTTCTTTTAAATGAAATAGAGTCTCTCTCCATCACCCAGGCTGGAGGGCAGTGGCGCCATCTTGGCTCACTGCAACCTCTACCTCCTGGACTCAAGCGATTCTCATGCCTCAGCCTCTCGAGTAGCTGGGATTACAGGTGCCTGCCACCATGCCTGGCTAATTTTTGTATTTTTCGTGGAGACAGGATTTTACCATGTTGGCCAGGATGGTCTCAAACTCCTGACCTCAAGTGATCCACCCACCTCAGCCTCCCAAAGTGCTAGGATTACAGGTGTGAGTCATCATGCCCGGCCCACATTTTCTTTATTAGCAAAATCCACTGGAAGCGTATTCCTCGAATGCTCTGTATTCTGAATTCAGAGAACCACCCTAAATTCTCTTTCTTGAGAATTACTCACCTATCAAACCATGGAAACAGCTGGAAAATCAAGGTAAATTTAAATGACCCTGGCATAAACTATTTTCACTTTCTCCCAAGTCCAAATTAGTTCAAAATAAGAGTTTTAAATACGTTTATTTTCTTATGTAGCAACAATAGGATTTTAAAAATGACCTAGCAGTAGTGTGCACCCTGTACCTCCTCTTCTAGGGAGCTTTAACAATGTCTGATGCTGGATTTCATCCCCAGAGGTTCTGATTCCATTGGTCTGGGGGTGCAAGCTGGACATCAGATTGTGAGAGCTCCCCAGGTGAGTCCCATTTACAATCAGGATCAAGAAACTCTGATGAGTGGCTCAAAGACCTAGAGCCTCTCCAGCTGGCCACCAGACTCCCAGGGGAGTATCCTCTATCTTTTACTGCACTCAGCCATCAACCCTCCCTTGTTCACAGGGAGGTAAGTCCACTGTGGGCCTGGACCTAAGCTGAGCCAAGTTTTACAAATGACAGTAACGAAGCTGCATCATGATCTCCATACCAGCAGCTGGGCCAGCTGCCCCACTCTTGAAATATCACATTGACCCAATGGCTTCAAAGAACATCATTTGTGTCTTCATCAACCCCAGTTCCACTCCCACTTCTTTCTAACCCAAAGAAGAAATCCAGTAAGGACATACAGTTACTCAAAAAGCCCAAGATGGCAAAGATAATTAACGCTGCAGTCTTGGTAGAAGAATGCTTCTGTTTGGTGCCGTGGTTCTCCCATACATACAAATAAAACTCCTGTAAAGTGAATTAGCTGTGACTGTTTGTGGCTTCATACAACTGGCGTTTTGAATGGCTGCTTTGCTAGACACACAGGCCCCAGACAAAGTGCCTGCTGTGATTTGGTTTTGCAGCTTGAACAATATTTCCACTGCAGAAATCCATTACATCTTACTGAAGTTTATGGAGAGAATATTTCCCATCAAATAGCGAGGTGAAGCACCAATGAGGCAGAACTAAATGGGAGACTGGTAAATGCAAATGGAGGACCCTGAATTCCACTCCATCAGCACAGACAGGCTTATTCCAATCCATGACAAATATCTGACTGTGTTTGGAGACCGTATGGAAAAGTAGCTGTAAGTGGTTGCCCAAATACTCACAATAATCACTTGCCTTGCAAAAAAGAAGCCAGTTCCTGAAAACACCTTGTAAACTTTTTGAAAAACTTTATAGCAAATTCCAGTTAAACAGGGAAAACTAAGCACTGGTTTTTATCCTCTTTCCCTCCTCAAACATACACTAACCATTCCCTCTACTAAAATACAAAAAAGGAAATTCAAAAAATATCTGTGCACAAAGAGAAAGAGGAAAAGTGGTGATAAGAGAAAATAAGATAGTTCAATAATATTTTGGAATTTAAAAAGTCAAAAGAAGAAAGAGGCAAGAGGAGGAAAGAGGAAAGAGTTGAAGAAGAGATGACCAACAGGACTGCAGGGGGAATATTTGCAGGCAGCCAGTTCTGCTGGAAAGGATCACTATGTGAAAGGACAAGAGAGCCAGGAAGGCTGAGGTGGAGTGAGGCTCCAGGCGGGAACAAGGTGCCCCGCCCCCACTATCACCTTGCTCCCTTCCCACAGGACTCTAGTGGTTTACCCAGAGACATTGAACTCAGAAGGCTCAGGAGAGGGCTGGGATGAAGCATGAAGCTCAGCCCCTTCTTCCTGCAACCCTGCCTCCCCATCACACCAATCTCATCTCATACCAGCACCCTGCAGGAGATTAGAGAATACATCTCTGGATGAATTCTCTCAAAAAATACCTCTCGGTATGGACATTTGGAGATCTACCAGTGGAAAGTCAAGCTCATTCTGTGATCATGCCACAGTGAAACCTGCCAGTTGGCAAGCCCTACCCACGCACACAAGGCAGAATCGCACTAGCTTTCTAGGGCTCAATTCCTAAATATGAAGAAGCAGTCAAGATCACCAGGCACTTCAGCAAAGCTCCGGCATGGGAGAGCACAAGACAAGTAGACAATCAGCGACCTGCAGGAAACAGAGGCAATGCAGGAAGCAGAAGAAGACTTTCTAAACAAAAAAAACTACTAATATCCTCAGAGATGTCAGTGAAAACACTGCATCTATACAAGCAAGGCAATATTTAAAACGTGAACAATTCAAGGGTAGTGAAGAGTCCTTGGAAATTACGATCGTCAAAATTTTAAAGTTAAAGGAGAGTGGAAGATAAAGCCAAGAAATCTTCCAGAAAATTAAACAAAGAGGAAAGAGGTGGTAAATAAAAAAGGAAAGATAAGAAAATCAAAGGTTTGATAAAGAGATCCACCATCTAATTAAAAGAAATCCCAGAGAGAGAGAGACAGGGAAAATGAATATGAACAGAAGAGATGAATGGAAAACTGAAAAACTTTTGGAAATTTCACCCAAATTACTTACCCAGTTTCCAGCACAATTAACACAAGTGCACAACTATGAATGTATGTGCACATACACGCACATACACACACACACGTATATCAAGGCACACAATTACAAAATGCCAGAGCCCTAGAGATAAAGAGAAGATGCTAAGAGCTTCCAGGCAAGAGGGATACATTTATAAAGGAACAGCAATCAGAAAGACAATGGAATCATTCTCTATAACAATACCACTATTGTTATTCTACAGAGCAATTCCTTCAACATTTGGATGGGGAACTTTTTAACCTGGAAATCTACACCTAAAAAAAAAAAAAATCAATCCACTCTAAGAACAAAATAAAAGTATTTGCAAATGTGTAAAAATTTGCCTTGCTTGTCCCCGTCTTAGCATGCATCAGGAAGAGGGATGTCAGCAAAACAAGGGGGCAAGCAAGGAAAAGAGGAAGCTGGGGATTTAGTATCATAGAGAGGCAGTCTCAAGCCGCAGGGCTGCGGGAAGGAGGTGTCTGGAGCGAGAGATTACAGAATACAATGATGAAGACAGGATCCATGCCCAGGCTGTCTTGTTTACTCCAAAGCTCACAAGCCTTCCTGCAACTACAGACTACTTGCTTTATTAGAATTGTAGACCACGGAATGCAGGAAGACACAAAGACCACACGCAACAGAAGTTCACCTCCAACCCCGCCCCTTTCTGTTCTCAGCATTATAGGATGTGGATGGTTAAAGTGACATGGAGGAAGGACACGGAAGAGGGAGAAGTTTGAGAAGATACCACATCGAGACTTAAACCTTTTGTGAAAGGCTGTTTCTTTGAATCTGCTCACATAAAGTCCATAGATAGCAAGTAGTCAATGAAATGTTCCAAGAGCCTGGGATCTAAAACAGTCTCCACCTTCTCTACCTTATTTGAGGATTTGAAAAAGCTGTGTTAAGGTGCATAGATGGAAGTGTTCTGCCACAGACTCCCAAGCCACAGGAAGGAATAAGATCACCCAGGAAGACCTGAGAGAGATAAAAGAATAAAGCCAGACATCAGAGCCCTGGGGACCCCAATACTTAAAATGTGGGCATTAGAAGGGGAGCAAGGAAAAAGAGAACTGCCAGAGATGTGAAAGGAAACCAGAAAAGGATACTGTCTTAGAATTCAAAGGAGGAGGCCAGGCGCAGTGGTTTATGCTTGTAATCCCAGCACTTTGGGAGGCCGAGGTGAGCAGATCATGTGAGGTCAGGCATTCGAGACCAGCCTGGCCAACAAGGTGAAACCCAGTCAATACTAAAAATACAAAAATTAGCTGGGTGTGTTGGTGCATGCCTGTGATCCCAGCTACTAGAGAGGCTGAGGCAGGAGAATCACTTGAACCTGGTAGTCGGAGATTGCAGTGAGCTGAGATGGCACCCACTGCACTCTAGCCTGGCAACAGAGCAAGACTCCCTCTCAAAAGAAAGAAAGAAAGAAAGCATTCAAAGAAGGAGAGTGTCTAGAAGTTCAAGAGACAAATACACTGAGGACAAACAGGATTAAGCTTGAAAATGAGCCAACGTGTTGGAAAATGTGTAGGCGACCTTAATGAGAGAAGTTTCCATGGAATGTTAAGGAAAAGTCAAATTATAGTGAGTTGAGGAGTTAGTTGGAGAAATGCTGATGATTGTAATAATTTTTATTATTGAATACTTCCTACACATCAGGCTCTGTAAAGGAGTTAATCTTATAATGCCTCTGTGACATTGGTACCATTATTTTCCCCATTTTAAAGACGGGGGCATTACAGCACAGAGCAGTGACCTGCCCAAGGACAGATGCCTAGCAAAGAAGTGGTGATGCTGGAATTTAAACTCACAGTCTGGCTCCGGAGCCTGTGCTCATAACCCTCCACCAGCACTGCCTCCCTGAAAGTGCAGACTGTGGGGGAAAGAATTTATGCAAAGGGATACTTGATCAATTCTGGTACATTATCTTCCTCATAAGCAGCTGCCTTCAATTGCAGCTCCCCAAGACCCTTTTTAAAGATGTTCCTCTTGACCCTTGAGAATTGGGATGGGAGTGAGTCACCTCATTAGACTCACCCAGATAGATTACAGATAATTCATCATGTCTTCTGATGTATGTCACTGCTGAATGTTCCTATTAAGCTATATCCACAGCGGAAAAGAGCATCGCACCATCAGACTCTTGCCCCATTCCCAAGGCCCTCTTACTCACCTTTGCTCTTCCATAAACTACATTCCTTAAAAGAAAACCCAATAAAAAGCACATAGGCCCATCACTTCAAAGGATGTAAGAGGAAGCCTCTGCAACTGGCCCCTGCCTGCTTGTGTCTGAGTCCAGCAGGGCTCCTTATAGGGCTACGGCTGGCACTGGGTCAAGACAAGTCTTCCTTGGACAGGGCTGTTCTAGGCATGTAGCAGCCCTAGACCTGGGCATGAAAAGCCAGTCTCAGCTTCATCAGCCATAACAAATGCACCACTCTGCGGAGGATGCTGATCATGAGGGAGGCTGTGCATGGGTAGGGGCATGGGGTAGATGGGAAATCTCTGTACCTTTTACTTGATTTTGCTGTGAACCTAAAATCACTCTAAAAATAAAGTCTAAAAGACAAAAATTTTAAAATGTAAAAAAAAAGTCCAGTCTCCCCACAAAACACACACACACATTTCCAAACATCCCCTGTGGTGACGGAGCTGTGCCAGGTTGAGAACCACTGAGAGAGACACCAACATGTTACTCCATGAAACTCTGGCCAGTTCTCACATCACTTGCCTCAGGGGAAAACTCAAAGACCTGTAGCCCCTCTAGGGGAGGAAGCATTTGTTCTCACTGAGATTGTTCTCACCTTAATAACCACAGTGAAGAATTTGTTAAGATAGTGAAGGAGGGAAAAGTAATAGGGGGAAAAATATCTCAACTGTCTGGGCAGCTTTCTTCTATTTTCTTGAAGCTGCTGAGGTGGATGGCAGGTCAAGAGGAGTCAAGCTTTGATGTCTATTGAGCCCTCAACACACACACACACACACACACACACACACACACACACACACACACGCACAGAAACACACAGCCCGCCTATTACCTGTTATCGGCCTCTCTGCTGTCACTAATCCATTCCAAATTACACAATTACTTTGTTATGCAACACTAATAATCAAAAAGAAGAGAAACATTCTCATAGCCTTTCTAGTAAATGCAAGCTTTGGAGAGAGACCCTCAAGGGAACAGAGGTCTGCACAGACTCTCAATATCATATTATTCTCTTCTAAAATTGGTGCCTTGTTTTTTTCTTCAGATCCACGGTGGATTTTATTCTTCCAACCATATCATAACAGAACCATTGGATAACTGGAGAAACTCGATGGCCCTGACAGGTGTCTTTCCCCACAGAATGGTCCATATTCTCTGTCCAGAGGCTTTTCCTCCCCTCCCTGTTCTTCCACAGGGGAAAAATGAGGGTGTAGAGCAAGGAATGGCTCCAATTCCATAAATGGTTTATTCCAAGTTGGGATTCAGGTTCCCAGATGTTTGAAATGCTTGTTCCCCAGTGCCGTAAAGAAATAGCACTTGAACATAAATTTAATTTCCTCAGCAAGGCCGTTTTTATACTTTCTGCAGAAAAGATACACCCACCAGCAGTTTTGCCACGACAATACATTGAACAAAGGAGACAGGGTCATTTATAACCTGACACGTCCACCCTACTGCTGTGTCCGGTTTCCATTGGCTGGAATGGGACCTCACATTCTATATTTGTCATGATTGGCTAGCAACTTAGAACTTTTTAAAAGAGGAAAAGCAGAGGAGAACCAAGGAAGGAGGAAGTAAATTGTGAAATGCTGAGAAAGGTAACAACACCTTCAAATAAGGAAGATGAACAGGCTATGACCTAATGCTTGCTTGGACCAGTATAAGCATGCCAGGGCAAATATTTAGGCTAAATTGTGGGAGCTAAGAACATAAAGTACATTGATTTCTTTATTATGGCTAGCAGATATTTAAGAATGTTAGCACAGGTCTTTGAATAAATTTTGCTTCTAAGAGAAGTTACTATTTATTCCTAATTAGATGGGGAGGAAAGTCTTTGAAGAGGAATCTCTATTTTACTTTTTACACAGAGAAAGCAAAACTTTCTGATGGCAACAGTGGAGAGGGAACTTCACTGCAGTAGCATGAACTTCCACCCAGGTGGGCTGAGCCCCAGTCCCAAGAGAGGAGCCTGGGACAACAAGTCACCATGAGGACCTGTGGGTACACCACCATTCTGCAGAAGCCTTTGGTGACTCCAGGGAAAGTTCTTCTCAGGGTTCATAATGCAGAAAGAGAGGGGGAAAGAGGTGGGTCACAAAAAATGAAGGAGGAAAAAGGAGCGGCCTCCCAGGGAATACACTGATACATCAATACTCACTCCCTCTTTCAGATCAGGGGAAAGACTGCCTTGGAATTATTTTCTCTAATGCCCTACTGTTGGCTCTAAAACTCCTTTCTCTTCCAGCAACTCTATGACTTACAGATCATTGACAATCCTCAGAAATGTGGCACCAAGAAAATCCAGCCACTGGCCCAACCCTAGGGCATTTGCCCAGCCAACGTGTAGAAGTGGTTCTTCTCCAAATTCCAAAGGAGTGACAGAACCCCAAGGATGCTGGGATCCCTGTGGTTTACAAGAAAAGGAAAGATGGAGGGAAAATAAAACTGACATTAATTAAATACCAACTACATGCCAGATATGTTGCTGGGCACTTTCTTCTCATCTCATTTGATCCTCAACAACTACCATTATTCTCATTTAATCAACAACAAAACCTATCCTCAAATAAGTTTAAGTCATTTTCAAAAATCACCTAGTCAGGAAGTGGTGGAACCTGTATTTCAAGCCATTTTGTTTGACTCCAAAGTTCTGCGTCTTCACACCAAACTACCCATTTTCTCAACAGTATGGCTGACACCAAGTATTTTTCACAAACAAAGAGTGCTTGGTGTGAATACATGAGCCTATATACAGAAGGCGATATGCCAGCTCCCCTGTGATTGGGGCTAAATCAGTGCATCTAGGGATGGACTGCCAAATATTTTCAGGGTTGGACCAGCCCACATAAAATAGCTCTGGGCTGACAAGTCCAACAGATAGACTTAAATTGTACAATTCCAACTCCAGAATCGATTCCTGTACTCCTTCCTTTACACTTGTACTTCCTTCCAAAGTAGGGTTGGGGGGCAGCAATCTCACTTCCCAACTCAGAAGCCCTCTTGGGAGCTGTGGTAAGCATGACTGCTATTTATTGAGTATATCTAGGCACTCACTAGGACTGCAGTTTTGTGGACCACCTTGAAGTTAAACAGTACCCCCATCACTTTCTTTGGAATGAAAAGTAAGCAGAAGTGAGGATGCATCACTCCCACGTGGAAGCTTGAAGATCCAGTGTGACTTGTCACATTCCCTTTTTCCTGGGTTGGCATTTGTGGAAGCATGAAACAGAACCCCACTCAGCCCCAGTCCCTCAGTGAGGCCAACTTAGACGCAAGGGCTCCCGCCAACACCTGGCGCAGCCATGGTGACGTGCAAAATGCAGCACCATTGTTTTAAGCAGTTGTGATTGGTGGGGGTGCTGTCTATCACATCTCCACATTTACCAATGGTACTTTAATTTCTTCATTCAGACACTTCGCGTGCATCACACCATCTTCAGCAAGTCTCCGCAGAAGTCCCTCATAAAAAAAAAAAAAAAAAAAAAAAAGGGCTTGTCGTCCTCAATGATATAATCCATTTTTAAAATGCCTCCTCCCCACTCTCTGTCCCAAAGTTGAGCTCAAATCTTCAATCTTCTGTTCCACAGAGTCAGATCATGACCACTTAGATCTGACTTGGGTAGCAGAAGCAAATAAGCCTGCATGGGTCTCATGCTTTTTTTAATGTGTCAGAATGAAGCAAACAAGCCAACCTTTGGATTAAGAAAATGATTTTTTTAAAACCTCAACCTTTTCCTACTGATAGAAATCAAACACTGACATGTCCCTGGTGGGCGAGAGCTTCGCATCAACAAATCTGGGAGCAGGAACTCATAAAACGGAATAAGTGGAAGCACAACAAACACAATTAAAAATCCAGCCATGCTCAGAGAGGGATTCCATTTACTGTCTCATAAAAAGAGGCTGGTCCTCAGAGGCAAACAAAAGAAAATCAATTTCTTAATTTTTATTGGCAGATGTGGGACAGAGGCCAAGTGAACACGGGCTGTGCTCAAGAACAGACCTGGGGACTAGTCATGGCCTTCTGTTCCTAGACTTGTTCCTCTGGGCCCTCCCCTCTCTGCCTCCTCCGGCTTCCAGACAGACTCTGCCCTCTGTGGTCTCCGGGGCACATGGGGTCCTGCAGGCAGCACAGCAAGGCCTGCCCTCCGCACTTCTCCGCTCCTCTCCCTGAATCATTTCCCAAAAGATAAGCTTTATTCTCTGGCTCGAATTCCCTCCCAGCCTCTTACAGGAACCAAAGGCGTTGTTCATGCCTCGCAGCATTCATAGCTTGGAGGTATCACTTGGTGATTGAAAATGATGTTGCTCATCAACCAGCCCAAGAACACGCACTTAAGGAAGGGGAAGGCAGGATGGGTATTTGGACTCAGCTTCCCTTACCTCCCTTAATCATCACCACAACCCTGGGGGTAGATCCTCTTATCCCCAGTGATGTAGTTGAGGAAATTCAAGCTCAAGGCTTCATAATTTGCCCAAGATCACACAGTTAATAAATGGTAAACAGATCCACGTCTATCTGACTTCAAAGTCTGGGCTCATTTCACTGCAGCACCTTGCTGCCCCACCCTCCAGTATTGTTTTTCTAACAACAGGACAAGTCAGCCACATTCTCCTTCCCACTCCCAACCTTTACTCTCTTGAAATTCATTTGTAAGAGAACTGGCTTTGTTTAGGAAAGAAGCCCATGACATTTCCAGTAAACTCCAAACCCACAACTGTGGCATAAGGATGTAGCTGTCAGGGGCAACCAGAAATTCATAGCACAGGAATGGCCGGCAGCAAGGGGTCTGAGAATGTCAAAACAAGCATCCTGGAGGGAAGGCAGATGCCATCAGACTTCTCCAAAGACTCTTTGTACAGACAGTATTTCAGACCATCCCAGGCATCAACAGGAAGTGAGTAGTTACCTTCTGATTGCACGTATAAGGTGACTGGAATACAAAATGCTGGGTTTTTGGCCCGAGGCCCCATGAAGAGATCATAGTTCAAATTTCAACATGTCTAAATTCAGTTCTAGCCACTATGGCTTGCTAGTGTTACCTCAAAATAGAGACATTTATTTTCCCTAAAGATTTATCTGTAACTTTCCCCCAACTTCCTGGGGACTTTTGAAGACTGGGAGGAAACATCACTTGAGGTCATGCAGTGCCAGGGGCTGCCATGTTGAACTGCTACAGTCCTCATGCCTCCACCCACTCACATCATGTCCCTTTTGGCACTTGCATGATCTGATTTCAACACCAAAGCCAAGAGAATGAGAACCCAAATTCCTGAGGGCTAAGCCCAAATGCCTCTGACTTTACGGAGGTCACAAGAGGGAAATCTAATATCTAAAACCCCACTAGGTGATCCTGGATGGCTTCAATATGAAGTTCTTTCAAATTAAAGTGAGGCACAATGAGTTAGAAGAGAAAGAGAGAGAGAACTGATGCAGAGAAGAAGAAAATCCTTTTCTGGAGGAACTTGGGGTCTTATAGGCACTGGCTGATATAAGACTTCCTAACTAGATATGTCACCCACAGTTGTATGGGTCTCATACACTGCAATAGGGTATCCAGGGTATGTCTCAAGAAAACCCTTTTCCCAGTATTTCTAAGTACACATGGAGTCATACCATGGCATATTGTCACCCCCAGAAAAGTCAGAGTGATGATCTGAAATACCTGTGTAGTAAAACAGATAATAATAGCTAAGGTCTGCTATCACTTGTTGACCAACACTGGTCACTTGTTGGCACTGTACTGGGCTCTGTGTGATCCTGTCCAACGCTCACAGTGGCTCAGTGAAGTGGGTCCTATAATTAGAGTCAGAGCAGTTAAGCAGTCTGCCTAAGGTCACACAGCTAGTAGGTAGCAGTGTCCTGGAGCTGTGGGATTCCCAAGTCTATGTTCTTTTTTTTTTTTTTTTTTTTTTTTGAGATGGAGTCTTGCTCTGTTGCCCAAGCTGGAGTGCAGTGACACGATCTCGGCTCACTGCAAGCTCTGCCTCCCGGGTTCACTCCATTCTCCTGCCTCAGCTTCCCGAGTAGCTGGGACTAAAGGCACCTGCCACCATACCCGGCTAATTTTTTTGTATTTTTAGTAGAGACAGGGTTTCACTGTGTTGGCCAGGATGGTCTTGATCTCCTGACCTCGTGATCTGCCCGCCTTGGCCTTCCAAAGTGCTGGGATTACAGGAGTGAGCCACCACGCCTGGCCCACCACACCCGCCCCCCCACCCCACCACCACCTCAACCTACATAATCATACGGCCAAAAGCACTAGGTCTAGAATGAACACACTTCTGAACTATAATGCACCTAAATCAAAGATGCTGAAATGAGGCCTGAATTTACAGTTAGCTAGAAACCATGAAAGTCCAATGTCTTCTTCCAGGCCATTCTGAGATTATGAACTCAATCCCATGCCCTAAGAATCCTGTGTGCTCACACTCAGCTCACCCTGGGCTTGACACAGACCCTATCATCTTATATCAGACAAAGAGGTACTTTCCCTTTTATTAGAAAATATTTGCTGTAGCACCATGCTGAGTTCCACAAGCCCTGAAGGTACTTCTGCTGGGGGCTGTGCATGCCCTGCGGGACCACAGGCCCTACCTTTGCATAGGGGATGGACTATTGCAGGTGCTTCTGGCCTCCTGTAGCCTCTTGCCTAGTGCTCACTGGACCAGGTGTTGGCACCTGCCCATCTTAGGTAGCACATCTCCCAGGCCCAGCTCTCTGTTGAGTCACAGTGTTGCCTCCAACTAGAATAGTACATCCAAGTCTCAGGACCTATAACAGGAGCCCACCACCCTGTGTCTGTGGCAAGGATATCTTGTGGACAAGTCACAGAGCAGTCCTATGGCATTTTACTTCTGGAAGTTGTGCCATTACCCAGTGTTATAATTTTCATCAGAAACATACACCCATAAAAAGCAGTAAGGAACCTGTCTGCATTTGAACCCATCCTGCTGTTGATTGTCCTGGGGTCAACACTGGCCCATTTCCTTACTTATCCCAATTCAAGCTTCTCAGCTGGTCCTAAAATTCTCTAGATCATAAATCCCTACAAGGCAAGGACTCTATCCTGGATATCTCTGAATTTCACTGCGTCCCTATTAAAGTCCCTTTAAGAGAACAGGCAATTACAAAATATACGTTGCCCCAAGTGCTACCCCAGACACTGGTAGGCATTGCCTCTCCAAAGCTGTGAACTTCCTAGAGCTGCCATAACAACCACAACAAAACACAAACTAGGTGACTTAAAACAACAGAGTTATGCACTACAGTTCTGGAGGCTAGCAGTTGGAAATCAAGGTACCAGCCAGGCCATGGTCCCTGAGACTCTGGATAGAATCCCTCCTTGCCTCCACCAAGCTTCTGTTGGTGGCTGCCAATCCTTGTCATTCCTTGGCATGTTAATGCATCACTCTGACCTCTGTCATCATGTAGCCTTCTCCGCTCATCGCATGGCATCTTCCTCTTTGTGTGTGTCCATTTCTGTGTCTCTTCTCCTCTTTTTATAAGGCCCTCAGTCAAATTAGATCAAGGGCGCACTCTATTCCTGTATCACTTCATCTTAACTTAAATCTTAATTCCATCTGCAAAGAGGCTATTTCCGAATAAGTTCACATTAACAGGTACTAGTGATTAAGACTTCAACATATCTTTTTGCAGGACACAATTCAACCCACAGCACCATGTCTCCCATATGCCTAATCTTCAGCACCCAGGCTGGAGCATCAGTGGCAGGCACAAGGGATAAACCAGCATTATAAGGATGGTGATAGATGTGGAGGAATCTCAGGCTCTGGGTGAACTGGGAGTTCAATCTATGGGCATTTAATCTCCCAAGAGCAGCTCCCCAGGAACTGTAGCAATATGTACCCTCTAGAATCCTTGAAAGTGACCTACAGACTATAGTTCATGATTCATGCCACACCTTCCAGACTGGCCTTTCCTGCCCATGTGCTCACCAAATACCTTCTCCTGTGCTGGGCTCTGAGCTAGGGACTAGAAAAGGGGAGAAAAAAGACACAACCTCAGCCTGAACAGGTCCCCAGGTCTACAGGTGGGACACACAAATAAACCAACAGAGATGACACATAGGAAGAGCACCATGTTACAGGTGCGCTCAGGACATGAGGCAGCACCTGAGACAGTCAACCAGGGGAGGACAGAGAGGAAGGCAGTGCAAGGAAGGACACCTCACCCAGCAAACACATTAGCCTGTAGCTCCATCTGCCCACATACTTCATCCTTGTCCCACCCCAGAGGACTTGTCTAGCCTCCTGTTCCACAGATCCTCTCCGTTTTCTCAGGGGGGGTCACCTTCATGGCACCTTGAACCTTGGCTGCTGTCTCTTCTCCCCACACACCTGGACAGCAGCCGGGCAAGGGCCCCAGCAGCCTCTATTAATCTCTTGGCTCACTCATCCCTTTCACAGACATGCCATAAAAATGATATAAGCATTTCATTCGAACAGCGCTGCAGCAGGAATGGCGAGGGTACAGAGGGTCGATTGATTTTCAGCATGTGCAGGTATAAATGCAACACCAAAATCAATTGAAATAACACCGCATCAGTTCTGTGATCTCTTCCCTTGTACGGCACGCTTTATATACTGTAGTACCTGCTCCTGTCTACGTGCCTGCCCTGACCGCCCTGCAGAGGCTCCATGGGCGAGGCTGACAGCTGACACCCACAGGGCCATGTACTCTAAGCCCCTTCAGTCACACAGGGAAAAGCAATGAGGTTCCACGCATGCCCACCAGCAGACCCTCATAAACATACCGGAAATCCCATGTGCACTCCCTGAACAAGAATGTGTATGAACACACATGAACTAGTAGCACGTGGCTGCTCATTGAACAGGTGTGTAAGGAGAATTACTGGTCTGCATTTCTTCACAATTTTACACCTTCTTCCATCTCACCAGATAAAATATTTCCATGAGTGATGTATATAATATACTTATGTGTAATATACCCAGGAATATTGAACACCCAAACAGAATACCCCAAAAAGGTGCGGTGAGGTAGATGGTGGGGAGATTCTATAGTAGTGAGTTAGCCCTGGTACCAAGGGAAAAAAAAAGTCCAGAGATCTCATCTGAAAATGTATAAATGCATATTATTTTGAAATTTTGTGACTTCTCACAATCAGTTTATAGTATTATTCTTGTACTGATGTCTAGATCAGGTTATATTATTAAACTAGCCAATTCATTAAAACTCCTCACCTTCACGGTACCTCCTCATCAAAAGTCTGTTTCTTCATGCATCCATTAACCTAACAATGGTTCAGGTAAGAAATTGAAGCCTGCCAAAAAGGGAGTATCTCCTCATTCAGTTCAGAGATGTCTGGTTCTATTAAAAGGAGGGCGACCACACATCCTGATCTGCCCTGGACAGTCTGTTTATCTGTTGTTCCAGCATCATCATTAATAGAGCCCCCTTTGGTCTGGATGAAAAATGGTGTAGTAAGCCTGATAAAAAGTAACTTAGGCCTCCTGTGTGTGGGAGTGGAAGGTGGAGAAAAGATAGTCATGGGTAGAATCAACTGCTGTTTTGAACTCCAGACACTAGTGATGCAATATCACAAGTAAAGCAGTGAACCACCCTAGCCAACATGTCTCCATCCTATCTCCTAAACTCCCTTTGAGGCAGTCTATAGAGGGGCCTAGCAAGTATCCTCAGAATATCCATATAGGACATTGTCCTTCTTAGGCAGTCAATAAATATCATTTGATGACAACGACGCAGCCATTGATTTTCCACTCCCTCTTCTCCCTCTGTTCACTTCTCCCTGCCTCCTTCCTCAGGGTATAGGTCAATCAATCTTAGGCCATCTTGATCTACTTGGAAAGCTTAACTGCCATGAAGCTAAACCACTTGTCCTCTGGCTCCAATCTCTTAGAGAAATTAGTGCCAATGGAAGTGTCAGTATCAATTTCATAACGTTATTGGATGAAGGCAAGGCTGGGCAAAGTCCCATATTCCTGACGGGCTATCAAAGTGATGAGGATTATGGGTAAGGAGACAGACAGCTCTGACAGGAGAGGCAATGACTCAAGAGCAATTAGACTGACAAGACTATCTTTGAGCCCCATCACTTAATGCTGACACAGGTACATTCCCCACAGAGATGTAGAATGTGGGATGCAGGTTTTTCCTGGTGTCTGCAGGGGTAACTGGAGAGCCTGGAGGCTTGCAAAGAAGCCTTTGGCCCCACACCTCTCTTAACAAAGGGTTCCAACACAATAGTAGGATTTTGCTCTCATGATGGGAAGACTGAATATCTGGCCCCTCCTTTTCCTGCATTCTAAAGAAAATGTCAAGATAAAATGTAGGCTATGTATTTAAATTTAACTCCTTTGCAGAGTCAGGGGAAGACTTGGGATTATTAAAATGAAAATCAAGATCTTGTAAAAGTCAAACCATCTTACCAGGAAAGGAGATTTATCCTGGAAGGCAAGAGCAACAGATGGATGCCACAAGGGTCCTGAGTTCTAATCCAAGCTCTTACCCCAGCACTGCTGTAAATACAACTGTGTGCAATCGGGAAGGTGTCACCTTATCTCTGTGAGGCTTCAAGTTCCTCCTGTAAGGTCAACCGTAACCTCCCACTACCCTACAACACTGACGAAATGAAATGCCAGCAGTGTCAAGGGCAAATGAGGAATCAGAGAAGGATATATTTTAAGATCTGGTGAGGTGTGTAGAAATTGCTTTTCCTCTGTGCCTGATAGAAGATGCACAGAAGCAACCCTGGAGCTGAGAATGCAGTGCAAGGTGGTGCTGAAGAGACAGAAAAGCAAGTCTTGTCTCCTGCTCAAATGGACCGCATGCAAGAGGCATGGAAGTGATGCTTCGAATACTTACATAGTATGCCTAGTCTATTTTAAGTCCTTAACAGTTTATTTCCCCTAGTTTTCAAGAGTTTATGTTCCCAGGGCAGCAGGCATAATTTTGACCCTGTGAGGTTACAGCTATTTAAGCAGGTTTGCTTTATTATTTTTTAATTGCTTAACAATATTGTTTGTTGGTGATCTATTAAAAACCCCACAGTGTTTTATAATGGAATTTAAAATTCATGTAATTTTAAAGTGTCCACTTCAGAATGGTGTGTGTGTTTATGGGGTTCACTAACAGCTAATATTAATTAGCTGATCCTGACACTGACCTAAGCATTTAAGCTAAGCAAAATGATATATGTAAAAGGTCAGTATGTAGCAAGCCTTATCTGAATAATGTCAACCCTGGCCAAGAGGCTGTTGTCAATATTATCTGAAACTGCTGAGTTCCCAAACACACTCAGAACATTGGCCTAATATGCAAATGTGTGAATCAGGGGATTCCTCCCAAGGTGCCTTTAAATAGCAGGCCCTTTAAAGACACTGTGGTGCAGCTGAGGGTATTTTAAGATCATTAACCAATTGAAAGAGAGGTTGGGAGCAGAGAAACTTGAAGTGTTAGAAGTTTCTGCTAATCGAAGATGGTTCAGAATCAATGATTATGCATCTCTGCATCTGCCAGAGAAAGCTATAGGAAAGCATTAGACAGTGAAGAAGTTTTGCTAGGCACACACTTGGCATTGTGCTCCTGACGCTCATAGATGCAAAACTTCACACTCAACAATTTTAGAAACATATCTGTTGGGAAACTCTGAATGGGCTATTGACTATTTTCACATAATAGTATCTTTGTTGAAGGCACAGGCATTCATTAAACCAACAATTTGCCCCTGAATTTTTTTTAATGCAGTTAAGCACCAAGAATATAAACAGGAGAACTTCCAAAGAGAAGTAAAGAAAGTGTCAATATAATATCAGGGTTTTCTTCACTGTCCTTCCCTATTGTTGGCATGAATTCAAAGGCACGTGTGTCCCAGGCTATAGGGGAAAACTAGACTTTTACAGGTGGGATTCCAACAAGATGCTTCTCAAAATCACCACATTACAATCCTTAAGCTAATAAATGACATCTATTTTAAAAATGGATGACTTCTAATGGGCCTAGGTACCATTCCCATCTTGGCCTGGGCTCACAGCATATTTATATATGGAATGTTTTCTACTTCAGATATTAGACATGTATCTTTTTAAAGTTTAGCTAGGTAGATTGAGTAATCAATATATACCGTGTGTGTGTGTGTGTGTGTGTGTGTGTGTATGTGTGTGTGTGTTTGTATAGAAAGCATAGCTGAGTAGTATACACACACTCACACACACAAATAAATCAGATAGTATTTGTGGAAAATCCACTCAGGGATCAGGCTATGCTTTCCTGTGCTTTCTAATTTAATAGAACTACTATTTGATGAGTATATACCATAGCCAAAATTGCCCCCAAGCAATTTATAAATAATTAGCTCATTTAATCTTTGCAAACTTGCAATGATCACTTCCATTTTACAGACAAAGAAATTGAGGCTCAGAACTATTTTATTAACCTGCCAACTGTCCCTCAGCTAATAAATGGTGAAATTGGAATTCCAATCCAAGACCATGTAATCCATCCCAAGGCCTGTACTCATCCTACAATATACTCCCTGCCACAAACTATAATTTTAAGAAAACTTAGGAAACAATATGATAAGAGAGCATATATAATATTTTCCATGGGTCTGTTGCAGAATTTTCATCAAATTTACTCTCTAATACCATTTAGGTGTGTCTTCATTCATAAACATGTACAAATTGGGTTTGACATTCAAAGACCGTGGTCATCTAATTATTTCACTAACCACATCTCCTACCAGCAATTGAGTAAAAGTACACGTCTGCTGTTCCCCAAATACACAATCTACATTTCCACCTCTGCCACACCTGTGCTCCAGCCCAAGACATTTGCTTTGATGCCGACAACCCACCTGCCCAACCCTACACCTCCCAGGAACCAGCTCAATCCCCACCACTCCCTTGAAGCATTTCTTGAACCTAACTCTCCCTCCTCTTTCTCCCCACTCCACCCACTCACAGTTATTTCTTCCTGTAGATTCGTGCAGCTCTTCTGAAGATCAAGGTTTGCCTATTGCCTCTCTGTCTCTCGCTAGTGATTCTCTGCAACCCAAGAATAAGGCTTAACAGGGAAGGAAGTTGTTGTGACTCCATGCTTTTATTCCTCTTGACTAAGAAAAGGCAACAGTGTTTATCACAATGAGGAGCATGTCTCAGTCAAAAGCATCATTTCTGCTGCTCTGTTAACTAATGCCATCTTGGTCATGCCTCTTAAACTAAGTATTTGTTTCCTTATCTATAAATAGGGTTAATAACAGTAACTCCCTCATCAGACTATTGTTGGGGTTAAATAAAATACTTACGTAAAGCCCTTGGCATGGTATAAGTTCTCAGTAAATGTTAACTAAAAATAATTCTAGTAAAGTAAAAAAGAAAAAAAACAGTGGTTAGCTAACTCAAGAACTTTGCTGTTAATACTTTTAACCCCCATGATAATTACTGATTTAAGTGACAGGTTCTTCTTTTAATATAGCCACTAATGACAGCATCTATATGCCCTAAAGTCTTCCATTCCATGCTAGGGGATCACAGTTAGCCAATGCTTCCCACTTCTCATCAAAGCAAGAGGACTTAATAATGCAAATAAGGAATGAGCTTTATTAGATGTAGAGAAGAGCACCATAATTGAAAGACTGGCTAACTCTTCTTGGTTACCATGGACTTTAGCCTGATTCTTCACCTATCCAGGCATTTAGTAAGGACCCAATAAATGTTAAAGGACAACCCTGTTAACTATGCTGGATGAACATAGTTCCCTAATTTCCATACATAAAGGGGAAATGTATTATAGAATAAGTGATGTCATAAATATTTCCAGGTGTACATCTAAAATAGCTCCAAGAATAGGACAGGAGGTAGCCTGCACTCAACACAGGGATCCATCACCCCCTATCACGTCCTGGAGAGAGGCTGGGTGAGACATCAGCATGGCTGCCATTTCTTAATTTCCCAGTAACATGGTGAAAATAGGAAGCTATGGCTCCAAGAGATGAGGTGACTTGCCTGAGCACACATGGCTAGAAAGGGGAAAAATTAGTTGGAACCCTGGTCAGTCAGACCGAAAAGCCAATTCTCTAGTTTGGAGTAAGCACGCTATGACTCTAACTCCAACATGCTAAAGCCCATGGGCGTCTTTCAAAGAGGTATCCAGACATCTGCTGTCAGAGGTGTCAGGGGCTGCCACATCCAAGAGTGGAGTCTTCCCTACAGCCATGCATTGTATGATACTTTAAAGTTAGATGTAATTAATGCTGATTGTAATCACTGGGAGTTAATAGATTTATTATAATAGTGAGCTAAAAATGGCTTATGCTAATAAATCAATGAGAAATGAGATGGAAAGTGAAAAATCTTTGGGTAATGGAGGTGGAGGGTGTCAGGGAGGGGAGTATAGGTGCAGAAGTTTGCTAGCACATATGACAGGCCAAGGAGGTGCAGCAACGGAAGCACTCACCCATCGAACAGGTTGTCACATTCCAGGTATTTTAGGAACAAGGAGCTGAAAATATTAAGAGAATTTGGGCCCAAGGGGTTATCTATCAGCTGATCAGTATGGAAGCCTTATTAGCTGTGTAACTTTAAATAAGTGGCTTAACTTCTTTGAGCCTTGGTTTCCTATCTGGAAAACTGGGAAAATGAGCCTCCCCTCAACAGTGTCCATTTATCAGATTCTCAAAACATTTATTAGGAACCTACTATGTGCCAGACACTGTTCTAGGAACTGGGGATACAAAACAAAGCCCTTGTTTGATGGCAATAACATTCTAAGGGGAGGGCAACAGAATGTGGATAACTAAACCAATAAATATATGTCATTTGTCTAGTGGTACTGGCAGCCACAAAGGAAGGTGCAGCAGGGTAAGGGGGCAGAGAGTAATGAGGCTAATTTTATATAGGTCACAAGGGTTATAGGAGTTCAGAGATTCAAAGGGCCTGTCCCACAGTCAGTGTGTGGAGGCTCCACTTAATAGCCAAGGCCGGAGACCTCATACCTACTAAATAGAAGGGTTTGGCTACAGTGGACTTAAGAGGGTTCCTGGGACTGACAGCCGGACCATGCAAAGGGTATTTGTCAAGAACAGTCCTTGAAACCAGCAACCCAACATGCCTGTACTTCACTCTGAATTTGACAAGAGCAATCTGACCATGGATCTGATGCCCAACATACAGTGAGGCCATAGGTACGTTGGTCAGGGGTATGGGCTATGGTGGGAGACCTCCCAAGTTCTTTGGGACCTCAGCTGGGCAAGTTATTTGCCCTCGCTCTGCCTCAGTATTCCCATATCAATAATAGGGAAAATAATAGCACCTACTTGACAAAGATTCTAAGGTTGTTATGAGATTTAAATGAAGAAATATGTGTAAAATACTTAGCACAGTGCCTGGCACATAGCCAGGGCTAGATAAATATTAGTAATTAATAGAGTTGTTAAGTTCAGACATGGGTACAAATACCTTATCAAAATGAAAGGCTATACTTAATGGAACTGGTAAAAATCAGAATTTCATGTCCTTTGGCAATTTGCCTCAAGTTCTCTTCCCTGAGACCAGGCTCTGAAAAAAGGTACTGATTAATATGACACTACAGGAAGCTGATAGAAAGGTTTGCTCTCTTCTGTGCCAAGGTAGATAGAATGTGCTGGGCTGCAAATCTAAGGGGAAAATAAAGCCGATAATTCAACAAGTGGTGTTATGACTGGTTCCATCACCATGAGCATTGAGCCCAGTTCAATATAAACCAGAGGCCGTTCTGGGCAAAAAGAAATGGGAATAATAAAACCTGCCTCATTTGTTTGTACTGCCAGTTTTAGGCAATCAGTCAATCCAAAAAATATATTGAATGCCTATTGCGAGCAAACCATTAAATAATAACATTAGTAACTACCATTTGTTGGAAAGTTAATATAAGGTAGACATAGTGTTCTATATATCTACTGACCCAGTTCACAGCCACTTCCTCTACAAATTCTGATCTAAGTGTCCTCTGCTTCTGCCCACCCCGGTCCCAGCCAGAACTCCTCATTCCTGGCATTCAGCCCCACACATGAGCAATCCACATTGACCTGCAGCTGGTTATAAGCTCTTGGGTGCCCTACCAGATGAGATGCAGGCTCCTTTATAGTAGAGACATCCTAGAGTTCATGTCTTGCAAAATGAGCAACTCAACAGGCATCCCATACAATTAGACAGTTAGAATTAATTAAAGAACAGAAATAGCAAAATATGACAGCATGGCACCTCCTATTTCAGTTCTGGAGTTTCTGCAAAGCACTTGGTAGCTAACATTATGAGGGCAACCCCAGAGATGAGGCCAAAATACTCCTGGATCTCAATTTCCCCCTGGGTCAGTGGGTTATATAGAAATGCTCCTAGCTTCTGAAAATATTGATGATGATGATGATGATGATAACAATAATAATAATAGCAGCAAACATTCAACAAGTGCTTACTATGTTTCAGGCATTGTGCTCTTTGCATGTATTTTTTTTTCCAAAGTGCAAGTGATTTTTGCACTTCCATGAGAAAGGTACTCTTAATATCACCATTTTGCAGATGAGAAAACTGAGGCTGAGAGAGATGTAGATCTTTGCCCACACCAAGCAGGTAGAAATTAACAGAGCTGGGATTTCAACTCCTATGTAGCTAACCTCAGAGCCCAAACACTTCCCTGTGCTTTACAAAGCCATGAACTGGCAGAGGGAAGGGGGAGGTGTTTTGTGTGAGGGTGTGGTGCATCCAGTGAGCTTAGATTCTGGTAATGAATGCCAATCCCAGGCCCTGTGGTAGACCCCCATGGCCTCAGCCTTCTGCAGAGGAACTCGAAGCTCTTTGCCAACAGTCTCTCTTCACCCTCCCCACCTCTCTATTGGAAAGAGATTAAAGAAGATCTGTGCCACTTAAAAAATTAAACTGGGAGGAGTAGACAGATGGGGACATGTGGCATCTTAATGACCACATCCAAACAGTGCCACTGGTGAATCATTGGCAGTTCTAGGAGAAAAAGCACTTCCCAATTTTTGGACTGGACTCAAACTCAGATTCTAATAATGCAATTTCATATGAACAATCAAATAACATATTTCCTGGAAATATGAAATATATTCATTCAATGACCCTTGAAAACATCATCATCATTATAATCTTCATCATCACAGCATCTCCTTAGATTTGCATAGCGCTTCATGGAACCAAGCACTTTCACATTCACTGGCTCATTGCTTCCCTCTCCCAATCACTCTCTGACATAGATAAGGTAGGTGACAAGCCGCCCTTTCAATCGGTGATGAAACTAAGACCCAGTGAATTGCCCAAGTTCACTCAATCAACCAAACAACATGAGAACCCAGGATTTCCAGTGTATTCACCCAATACTGAGGCACCAGCCCTCTCTGGTTCCATGCTGCAAAATACCTAGACTGGGAAAGGAGGCATTTAAACGGGGCAGCCTCAAGGTTTTTAAAATCCAAAGTCAACGTTTTCCTCCCCTAGCAGCTGGAACAGACTTAGAGTTCAGGTTGTTGCCTTGATAAAGGAGAATCAGACTGAAAGGGACTTCTATCTTATCGTTCCCATTGTCACTAAGATGAGCCAACCGAAGCCACTGGCAAAGAAAAGTGCCCCGGCAGCAGGATAGTACTGCATGTAGGTTAAGGCATGACTTGTGGGCAAACTGGAGAGAAAGCAGGCAGTAGAAAGAAACAAAGGAGCATGGCAGGCCCCTGGGTTCTGCTGGTTAAGCCTCCTGGAGCTCTCAACTGAACAAATCAGTTAGGACAACGTGGGTGAAGCATTACAAGCACAGACTGTTTTCATATATATATATATATATATATATATATTTTTTTTTTAATGTAGAACCTTGATCATATGGAAGAGTTAAAGAAATATGTGTATAAAATGGAAATAGAGCAAAATTTATGTCTTTTTATAGCCAATGATTCATGCAGAGTGATGGGCTTTAAATATTAATAATAAGAAAATTTTCAGGGCATAGGTTGGAGATGAAGGGAGATGATAAAATTTCTCTATTTTTTTGTTCATGGTCCAAATGTAGAAAATTAAGTACAGTAAATATTCTACCTATGGTTAACAGTACTTATGTAGTTTATTATCTGCCTCGGGGCCTTCGTTTCACTTGGGAACAAAGACACTGCTTCAATTTGATGCTGAGATCATAATTTAGAGCTGAGAAGAAACCTGTTTCAAGAATTAAAATAATCTCACATGAATTTCAAATATGACAAAAAGACTGCATTTTCACAGAAATGTGCTGCTCACTCGTTCCCTCCTTCCACAAAGCCTTAGCATGGTTCCGCATGGTCTGAGAATCTCTGAGGCAAGATAGCCTGTCCGGAAAACCCTTTGGCACTTTCTCAGTATCTCCCCATTGGGGTGACTCCACAGAGAGTCGACAACATGTTCTTCCTGGTTGGCTTAGGGTTGTGACAAAGTCCCTTCTGATGATCAGCCTCACTTAAGCAATAATCTCATTCATATGGTATCAAGAACACAAAGAAATGTGTCGGCCGGGCGCGGTGGCTCACGCCTGTAATCCCAGCACTTTGGGAGGCCGAGACGGGCGGATCACGAGGTCAGGAGATCGAGACCATCCTCGCTAACACGGTGAAACCCCGTCTCTACTAAAAATACAAAAATTAGCCGGGCATGGTGGCGCGCGCCTGTAGTCCCAGCTACACGGGAGGCTGAGGCAGGAGAATGGCGTGAACCCGGGAGGCGGAGCTTGCAGTGAGTCGAGATCGCGCCACTGCACTCCAGCCTGGGCGACAGAGCGAAACTCCGTCTCAAAAAAAAAAAAAAAGAAAAAAAGAAAAAAAGAAATGTGTCCTGAGGGCTGGGTGCAGTGGCTCACACCTGTAATCCTGGTGCTTTGGGAGGCCGAGGTGTGCGGATCACTTGAGGTCAGGAGTTTGAGACCAGCCTGGCCAACATGGCGAAACCCCGTTTCCACTAAAAATACAAAAAATTAGCCGGGCGTGGTGGCAGGTGCCTGTAATCCCAGCTACTCAGGAGGCTGAGGTGGGAGAAACGCTGGAATCTGGGAGGTGGAGGTTGCAGTGAGCTGAGATTGTGCCACTGCACTCCAGCCTGGGAGACAGAGCGAGACTCCCTCTAAAAAGAAAAAAAAAAAAGAAAGAAATGTGTCCTGAGCAAGGGCTGTTCTTTGAGTGTCTTGGCCAATTCCAGAAGGTGGAGCAACGGGAAGCTCCTGGTGACCTTCAAGGAGAGCAAAGGTCCTTCTACATTGCTATTGACTACAACCTCAGGGGAGCATCAGGGAAATATGATCAGTGCCTTCCAGTGCCCTGCTCTGCCCCTGGGGGCTGTGAGCTGCCGGGAAAACCCTGACTCCCACTTCCAGCCACCCAGGGCTGCACCCATAGCCTCTTGCAGAACACCTTTTGAGCTGTTCCTAGTCCTTTGTCAAGCCCATTCAAAATGACTCCCAATATCTTTCTGAGGGAGGCGGATTGCCCTCATTGCTCTCTTCTGTCTTTCTCTTCCTCTGTCTCTGATGATACGCTGGGAGATGCCTGCTGCCAGTATGGGGCTGACACACCACTGACACAGTGAATCACTTGCAAAGGAAAAGGGCGGGCCAGGGACGGAGAGCCGAGCAGATGCTCAGACCCCAGAAGCCACGGGGTGACAAAGCTCGCTCTCTCTGGGTGAGATCTCACTGGCTCTGCAAGCCAATCATTCTGCCTGGCAAGGGGAAGGCAAGAGCAGATGGCAGGAAGCACAGCTTGGGGCCTTGGACTTTGACAGGGTCAGGAGCAAGTGTGTAGGAACTTGGATCGCTTTGGCCAAAGGGGAAAGAGTCCAGAGTGGCAGGTAAGCACCAGGACTACGACGTCAGACAGTTCTTGAGTTCAAATCCCACTTTCTCCATTGACTAGATGAGAGGCCTTGGGGAGGTTACTTAACGTCTCTCAGTTTTTTCACCAATCAAATGGTAATGATATGATAGCCAACCTCATAGGATTGTTTTGAGGGTTAAATGAATATGTGAAAAGTGTTTGGTATTTATTAGGTTGTTATCATAAGTGGGACTGAACATCTTTCCTCCAAAGGTCAAAGGTTAGTGCAAGTCCTAGGTCAAACAGGGGAAGTTCTGTCTGTGGGTCTCTCTCCTTTCCAGAAAGACCCCTAGTATTGGCATTTTTTAACTTCTTTTCCCAAAATTCTGGCCCAAAGCACACCTAGCACCACTACCCTCCACCATGCCCCAATGCCCGTTCCTGAGAACAGAACTATCCGGCTAACCCAGCAGAAGGACTCTTGAATGCACAGATATATCCATCCCCATCTGTTGCATCCTCCCCTAACCTGCCCACAAGCCACATGGCTGGAAGAGTCTGAAGCAGGGTCATGTTCAGGAAAGCAATTTAAGAGCTACATGTCAGATTCCAGAAATCTCAATGTCATTGCACATGGGATGATGATGATGATAATTATCATGATGATGGAGGCAGTAAAGGGAGGACCTAGTTGTCAGCCAAGTGTCCACCTTCATTCTCCTCTGAGCCAGCAGAGAAAAATGTGGTACTCTAGCTTCTTCCAGAGATTTAGATGTTCACCATCAGCAGCAAGCTAATTGCAAAGCTGCAAGAAACATGGAAAGCCCACAGAAGGTGCATGGCCCCTTTATTTCACTCACACACAAACACACACACACACACACACACACACACACAGCCCTCTGGCTACAGCCATTTAGAGCTCTCCTGGAAAAGAGAAAATCTTCCAGCAGCAATGGCAAGCAGAGGGCAGGAAAGGGGCTTGTGCCACTCCAAGAATTTGATGAGCACCCGATATCAACAGCATAAATAAGCCCTTTAATAAATTAGAGAGCTATCCATTTAAATGGATTCTGCAGTCCCTTCGGTGCCAGCTAATCTGTAATTCAGATAGATCAGCGATGGCTCTGCTGGGAGACAAGAGTCCAGAACATACAATGATTTTGTACCCCAAGCCAGGAGTTCACTTGGTAAGCAGTACACACATCCTACATGTTCATTTCATTGTTGCTCCTCTATCACCTATAAACCCCTAGTTATAGGCACACACCTGAAACAAAATGCACATTATTCCAGGCCCATATAAATATTCTCCATGCATGCTTCACTCTGCACATGCTCCACTCATATTCCACTCTGTGCACAGCTCCAAACTCTCTGGCAAGCACCCCCAGGCACCTCAATCAACACAGGACAAGGAACATGCTGCCGGGAAGTTTGCACCATTTTCCATAACACCCATCGTGTGTGCAGTGAGACCTGCTTCTACCCAGAGCTATGGTCGGGGGATAAAGAGGACACTAGGTGTTACAAGCTAAATTGTGACCCCCCCTAAAATTTATATGTTAATGTTATAACACCCAGGGCCTCAAAATGTAACTGGATTTGGAGAAAAGGTCTTTAAGGGGATAACTAGGTTAAAATGAGGTCATTAGGGCAAGCCCTAACCCAATGTCACTGGTGTCCTTCTTAGAAGAACAGGAGTTTAGGACTAGACAGACACAAAGGGAAGGCCATGTGAAGATACAATGAGAAGAGCCCAGAAGAGAGGCATTCGAAGAAACCAACCCTACCACTACCTTGAGCTTGAACTCCAGAATAGATTTCTGTTGTTAAAGCCACCGAGTCTGGAAGGTCATGGAAGCCTCCTCACGGAGGTGACATCTTAGCAGAGGCCTGGTTGCCGTGAAGGAGGGCACCCTGTGGCTGGGTGAGGTGGCTCACGCCTGTAATTTGGGTGGCCAAGGCAGGAAGATTACTTGAGGTCAGGAGTTTGAGACCAGCCTGGCCAACATGGTGAAACTCCATCTCTACTAAAAAAAATACAAAAATTAGCCAGGCATGGTGGCAGTTGCCTGTAATCCCAGCTACTTGGGAGGCTGAGGCAGGAAACTCGCTTAAACCCAGGAGGTGGAGGTCGCAGTGATCCAAGATTGCACTATTGCACTCCAGCCTGGGTGACAGAATGAGACTCCATCTCAAAAAAAAAAAAAAAAAAAAGTAGGGGGCCCTGAGACCATCTCAGGGAAGCCTGTTCTCCATGGTGGGAAGCACACGTGCAAAGTCCCCAGGGAAACAGGAGGCTGCATGGTCAAGGAACAGTGAGGGGGCTAGCGTGACTGAGGGGAAGTGACCAGTGGCAAGATAAGGGGGAGACAGGGTAGAGAGGCAGCCCCAAGCCAGGCCGTGCATGACCATGGGGACCATCCAGAAGAGCAGGCACTTTGATGGGAAGCCCTTGGAACTGAGCACGGGGGAACAGCAGGAGCTAATTGTCCCTTACATCACATGGCTCAGGCTGCTGTGTGCAGAACAGACCATGGGTTGGGGTAGAAGTGGAAGCAAGAAGCCCCAGTCACAGGCTATTTTCATCACCCAGGAAAGAAAAGAAGGAGGCATAATCCAAGTGTAAGAAGTTATTTTTGCTCAAAAAATATTTACTTTTAGCCATTGGTATCATCTTAAATTTACTATCAATATATCCCCAAATTTCAAAGTGGGTTATTTTTGCACCTTGATATCAGACAAGGGTTGTCTGATGTTTCTCTCCTCTTTCCTCTTTCCCTTTTTTTTTCAACTATTAAAATAGTCTTCACTAAGAAAAAAAAGTTGTTTTTAATTTGTTCATCTACTTCCATTTTTTCAGGTACTTCATTGATTTTTATGTTGAAATATTTAATACTTCAAAAAGAGACCCCCTTGTTGAGCGGCTTTCAAATCTGGCATCAGGTAATAACTTGTTTGCCAAGAAAGTCAGCTTACCCCCAACCAACTAAAAGAAAAAAAACAATAATTCATTAGAGATGCTTTTAATAAAGGTAAAATAAATGAATAAATTTAACTTTCACCTGACCATGAAATCTGGACTTGCAACAGGAAAAGAGTACGGTCAAGTTTGAATGCTTATCCATCAAATGGAGCTCCGAGGAGGGAGCCCTGCCACGGCCTCACTCCCGCCACTAAATGAATTGTCTACTTGACCCCCAGTGGTCAGAAGGGACACGGAATGCTTGTGCTGCCCTCCACAAGGTGTGGGGTGGGTCAGCCCGTGGCTGCTAAGAGCATCTTGAATGCAGGCCCACAACAGGTTAGAATAGGCTGATAATACAGAGAAGCGGCACAGAGCAGGAGCAGGAGCAGAGTGGCAGCCGGAACCCATGTGGCATGCCTGGCTGGAGAGGATGGGCCCACGGACACTCACGCCCCCGCAGGGCGAGGGCTCACTAAGCCAGTCCTTCCCACTTCCTGCTTCTTCATCTGGTGCCTGGCAGGGTGGCGAACTCAGGCCAGAGCAGACGTCAGAGAGGCTGGGCTGGTTCCAGGGCCCGGAGGCTCCGTTCTGGAACCCTTTCTTAGAGTCCCCTGTGAGGCAGGAGAGCTTCATGGAGAAAATGCCAGTCTGTGGAGGCACTCAGAGCTGGGCTTGGGACTCAGCTCTGCCTCTTCCTCATGCTGTGGCCTCAGTTTCCTTTCTGAGCCTCAGGCCCCTTATCCATCAAACGGGGGTAATAATAGGACAATCGACCTTCGGTATCTGTGGGTTCCACATCTGCAGATTCAGCCAACCGCAGATCAAAAATATTTGGAAAAAAATAAAAATTAACAAAATAAAAAATCATACAAATTTTTTAAAAATACAAGATAACAACTATTTACGTAGCGCTTACATTGTATTAAGTTTTATACATAATCTAGAGATGATTTAAAGTCTCCGGGAGGATGTGTGTAGGTTATATGCAAATACTGTACCATTTTACATCAGGGACTTGAGCATCCATCATCCGCAGAACGGGGAGGTGGGTTCTGGAACCATTCCCTCATGAATACTGAGGGACAACTGTAGTATATCCCACAGAGGTGTGTTACAAGGATGAAAGTGTTTTGCGCAAGAAGTACTCCATAAATGATAACAGTTTCTGGCATTGACTAGCAGGTGCCTCCTACCCCTTTCCCATTGTTATTAGCTGAGCACATGTCTTCCCAACATAAAGACTACATTTCCCACCTCCCCTTGCAGCCAATGGGATATAAACAGAAGTCTTGGCTAGTAATTCCTAGGAAGTCTCCCTAAATAGGATGAAGTAGGCCTATCTCTGCCCTCCTTCCCTCCTGCACATGAAATGCTGATGCAATGGCTGGAGCCCTAGCTGCCAATTTAGCCAATGAAGCTACAAGGTAAAGATGGCAGAGCCCCTAGATAAAAGGACCCCGATGATCACCAAACCAAAATAAAAACCTTGGACTGCCTATTTCCAAACCTCTTTTTCACAAAACAGAAGTAAATGTCCATTTTCAAAAAGCCATTGTTATTTGGAGCTTCTCTGCTACTCACAGCCAAATGAATTCTATCTTTATTATCATTTCTGTCATTGCTTCCATTACTATTTTTGTTAGAAGGGTGAGAACATTGCTTTCCTTGGGCTACTGAGGGTCAGCCCTGGGTTTCTCTCTTCATATGCCCACTCTATCAGCTTCCCCTGTGCCAAAGGCCAAAGGCCCCCCATTCTAGAATCCTAGGCATTTGAACTTCTGATTATCTTGTTTCCTTCATGTAAAGATGTGTGGTGAGTAGGGGGGCTTCCCCATCCCCCTCACCCACACACACACTTTCAGTGCTTTGGGGATGGGGGTAACAGCCAAGTTCCTTATGCTGTGGTTCAACACTGGGCTCCATCCCTTGGACAGATTACTGAACTCAGCTCATCTATAAACCTGGGGTGCAACTCCCTTATTTGTTTGCTGTGAAGATTAATTCAGGTGAAGTGTTAAGAGTGCTTGGTGCTTCATAGGAGCACATAGTGAGTGCTCCATACCTGCCAGTGATGTCAACAATGACGATGACAAGGATGAAGATAAGCCCTGCCCGACATCATTTCTTGCTTTCCAGTCACCAACTCATGCAAGCATCAAGGCCAGACAGAGCTGTTGGTGGCTCTCTAAACTGTCCTGTTCTCTCAAGTCTCCCATTTTTACAAATTTCCAATCTGTCTGAAGACAGCTTCTCTCACTAATGGATTCTGTATGTCCCTGAACACTCAGCCCAGAAGCCACTTTTCTCAGGAGGCCTTTGTGGACAACCCGTGTTCCCCACTGGGTGTCTCTCTGCTGTGATCGCAGAGCCCTGGCTGGTGGCTGTCAGAACTCTTAGCACTGTAGCTGGTCCTCACCTCATGACCCGCCTGCCTTCTCCTGGAGACTGAGCTATCCTGGGACAGTGAGTGTGTCCATCACATCTGTAGCTAGAACTGAGCACTGAACCAGGCCTCTAGCAGGCACATATCTATTTTATCTTATGGCTCCAATGCCTGGCACCGTTTCCATCTCGCATGTGGTGGTGTTCAATGGATACGTGTTGAATAGGTGGAAGAATGAATGAACCACTCCCCACAACTTCTTTTCTCCTGTCATGAAAGGCCAAATAACCTGGAGCTCAGAAGAAACAGATGAATTGGATGAAAATAGAACTACTTTTGCTTCTGTCTTGGTCACTGTAGTGACTTGTACAGTGTCTTCTGCTCCCAAAAGACATATGTCCACCTCAAACCTCAGAATGTGACCTTATCTGGAAATAGAGTCTTTGTAGATATAATTAAAATAAGGATTGGGATGAGATCGTACAGGGTTAGATCAGGCCCTAAAGCCAACAACAGATGTCCTTATAAAAGACAGAAAAGGACACAGAGACACAGAGAAGAAGGTCAGGTGAGACAGAGGCAGAGAGTGGGGTGATACAGATATAAGCTAAGAAATGTCTGGGCCACTGGAAGCTGAAAGAGACAAAGACAGATTTCTCTTAAAAAGCCTTTGGCAGGAGCATGGCTCTGCTGATATCTTACTTTAAACTCCTAGCCTTCAAAACAGTAAGAGAATACATTTCCATTGTTTTAAGCCATGCTGTTTGCAGTAATTTGTTATGGCTGCCTTAAAAATCTAATACCATCACCTAGAGATGGACCAACTGATTTTATAGCTCGTCCTTCAAGGCCACACCCTTCCTTACTCCAGCTGCAAACTTCACATCGACAACCTCCACATTCTCTACTGTTGGTTCTTTTTTTTTCTCTAATGCACTGTCCCATTTTACACTCCCACAGCCTCATCAAGTAGGTTCTACAATTATCCCTTTTCACAGATCATGACACTAAGTCTCATGGAGGTTGGTGAATTTGCTCCATCATGCATGGCTAGGACTCTGGTCTAGGTCTGTCTGGTTTCTATGCCCATAGCTACCACATTGTAACTTCCAGTGCCCCCTCCACTGCAGTCCAGAGCGAGAGGGTGGACATGACAGAACCAAGGAGCTTTCAAGAAGAGCCTAAACTTAGCTCAAAAGAGGTTATGGGGGTCTCTGCTGCTGAGGTCCCAGTCCCATTCTAGACTCAGTGTCTGTTCTTCACTTTAGGGCTCCCTGCCTCCTTCACCCTTACCCACATGCAATGGGCTAAATGAACCTCAACACATAGTTTCCTGACAGTTGAGAGGGAGGAAGGAATTGTAAGTAAGAATAATACTTTCAGACTGAGGGCTTTCTAAGCACAGAGATCTCATCTTGCTTTTCTTCGTATCTCCAAAGCCTGGCTCATTTGCAGGTACATAACATATGCTTGATAACAAGTTTTTGTACTGAATCAAGATCTATGACAACTATGTGACGATAACTAACCCCAGTATGGCTCAGTAGTGTTCCCTGAATTTTACAGGCACCAATTCAAGCTCCAGGATTGTATTTCCTCTACCCATGATAGAAAGAGGGTAGAGGTCACCTTAGCACCTCACTGATAGGAGGCCAACCAAGCACTGAAAGTTCTGGCCCTATCCTCTGTCCACAGGATCATGGTCCTACCCACCACCAGGAGCATCCAACACCAGGGGAAGAAATCCATATAATCATAGCTTCTAGCTCTCTAGCAGAAAACGTTCTTCTTAGTCCTGTTTCCAGTTCAGAGCACTTTAAGACTAAAGTCAAAAGTAAGCAAGGTAGAACCTTGAAAAGCCCATATGGTCCCTGTCCCCAAATCAGGTGGTTTGAGGCTCTGCTTGGTGACCAGATGGTTGCTTAGGGCTACCCATTCTCTGGGACACCCTCCCTCCTGCCTGGAGTGGAGGGAGGGGTGTTCCACACAGCCAGGACTGGGCAGATACCCCAGAATATTGCTGGAGAAGAACCTATACCCCTACCAGATGCCATCTGGATGACTGTCCCCATGATTTTTGTTCTCATAAATCCTCTGGGTACAAGTCCAGCTAGAAACTTGATTAGCCAAGTTCCTATTAGAAAAGTTCTTTGGAACTGTTTCCGTCTTATTTATGGGAACCTCTCTTATGTACAAACAGGTAAGGAATTTTAACTCCACAGGAGATGTGTACCTAAAGTTCTCTGTTGAACTGGCTGATCTGAAACTCTCTAATAAGGTAGTGTTAGTACCTGTTGAGTTTCTCCAGTATACCCCTTGTCTGATCCTCTTCATGCCTCATGAATCACATCATCATAAGCCTTGTCAAACAAAGAAAGAGAGACCTTGATTTACAGAGGAAGTTGACTTTGCCAAAATGGCCTACTGTCAGGGCTAAGCCCTGAAAAGCACATCTGGGCCTTATGACATTTTAGAGAACGCCATAGTAACTAAATCATGTGTAGAAGGCAAAACTCCTGATACAAAAGCAGCAACTATCTGGGTTTTTTCTCCCCTATGGAGAGATAACTGTAGCTTGGCTTTTTAGCATAAACTATTTTAATGTCAATTCTCTGATGATAAAGACCTTGCTTTTTCTATTCTCCATAGTCCCTAACTCACCCCAGAACAAGGCTAGATATTCAATGGGCACGTCAGACATGTAGGGAGAATGATGGGTAGTTGGCCATTAAAGACAAGTTCCTCCTCCATGACAGTAGATATCTCTCCCTTTCATCTGGGAAAGGAGAGTAAGATACTGAGATGGGATCACCATCTGGATGTGAAGGTCACACTTAATGATTGCAGATCCCCTTCCTACTCAGTTGTTTCAATAAAGAGCTGAAAGCCCATAGAGAAATGGACACACAGCCCTGCCTTTCTGAATCACACCCACAGCTCTCTTCTGCCCATTTCGTAGGCCCTTGAATGAAAAATTCCACAGCCAAACAGTATAGGAACATTTGTCCAACAGAACTGCAAAGTCCTCCCAGCAGCCTCCTGGATGGACAGGGAAGAGAAGAACAGAGACAAGGGAGGGGAGAAGCACATATGAGTGAGTGCCTCTCCCAAGCTTATCCCAGCTGTCCATCACCCGCCCTGAGGACCTGCAGGCAGAGCCTTGGCCAATCCCATGTTCAATCACAGTAGAGCCATGATCGTCAAAGACAGGAACAGTGCCAGCCTGGGATGGACTTTCTTCTCTGTGGTTCTTACATTGGGCAGCAACCTCCTGACATATGCCCCCATTCCCCACTCTTGTACAGGCAGCCTGCCAAAATAATGATTCACCTACACAGGTCAGTTAGTAGGGTGGCTGGAAAGGCCTGATCCTTACTCCTCTTTCCAAGTAGTTCCTTTCTCCCAGGCTCCACTGGCCCTTCCACATTCCTGCATCAACTTAAAAGGCTCAACCTTGCCACATTCTCCCAGGTCTGCCTTCATCATCCCCCATCCCACTCCAGCCCTACTGACACAGTCCTCAATTAATCCCACTCACTCCTTCTACCCAGTGTACAGCATGGCTTCTGGAAGTATGCAAGCTGCCTGTGTATTTCAGACCTTCCCTTGGATCAGTTCCATGCAACACGTGGTGCTGAGGGCTCAGTCCCATTCAGCACAGCCCCTCAGAGTTGTACAGACTCCCACACGCCATTTTTTTTCACTTCCTCAATATTATTCTACTATCTGTGAAGTCTATATATTTATCCACAGAGTCTCCTATTGAGCATAACTCCCTACAATAATTATCTATGGTTTCCATGTATTTATCTCTGGTATCTATTTAGATAGAATATCTACCATCCCTCCTGGATCTATTTTCATGTCTCTCTCTGTCTATAGTATTTATCTCTATTTTAACATGACTGCCTATTTTTTTTAACCCTCAAACTGGGACAGTTCCCAGGGGGATGGGTTTTGCCTGCAGTTAAAAGCACGATGTGATTCTACACGTGCTCAGCAGCTAAATTTGTGGTGGGTCAGAGCAGCAGTGCTTGTTCAGCAGAAACATATGAACTTGGGAAAACCAAGAGGTCAGAGAGGACGTGGGAGGGGGCTGAAGGCTCTCTAGACCTGCCCTGGATGAGTCCACCCATTTGAAGGAAGGTGGGGAGAAAAGAGGCCAAAGTTGGTAGAATCTAAATGCACATTCTGGGTTCAAATCCCAGCTCTACCTCTTATTTGAGCTCTCAGTCTCAATTTTCTATAAAATGAGAATCCTGTAAGTCCCTAAGTCACAAGATTGAGGTCAAGATTAAGTGTAATATACATGAAAAGTCCTTGACACAGGACTTGATGGAGAGCAAGTGCTCATTAATGAAGACTACTGCTCTTCACATGTTGTTATTATCCTCATTATGTTGTTATACCTTTTACAGCAGTTTTTTACAGGATCCACATCTTACGGGCTGTGACTATCTTAGGAAAGAGAATTACCTACATGTATATTCCTACCTCAGGAATAGAGTGGATACTGGGCAAATGTTTAATGACTAAACATAACTACCTAGACTCTTTCTTTAAGTGATACAAGAAAGAAAAGGTGAGGATACAGAACACTATTAAGGTTTATGGCCAGGTGCAGTGGCTCACGTCTGTTACCCCAGCACTTTGGGAGGCTGAGGAGAGGGGATCACTTGAGGCCAGGAGTTCGAGACCAGCCTGGACAACATGGTGAAACCACATCTCTACTAAAAACATAAATATTAGCCAGGTGTGGTGGTGCTCACCTGTAATCCCAGCTACTCAGGAGGCTGAGGAAGAGAATTGCTTGAACCCGGGAGGTGGAGGCTGCAGTGAGCCAAGATTGTGCCATTGCACTCCAGCCTGGGCGAGAGAGGGAAACTCCATCTCAAAAAAACAAAACAAAACAAAACAAAACAAAAAAACACTATTAAGGTTTAGAAAAAGGAATACTTTGACTACCAGCACTGGGCAGCTTCATGTTCAACAAAGCATGCAAGATATTAACTGAGACTTTAAAAGCCAAGATATAGGGCTCAGAAAGGATAGACAAGGCAAGCAGCTGCTGTGAGGTCAACAAAAGCTGAATCAAAGGCCTGCCAAAAAGCAGCAAGGGGTCTTGCTGGGGTTTGCATGGCAGATCTGCACTGAACCCACTTAGCATGGGCCCGTGGCTATCCTGCTCAGCAACTCAGGACAGTAGGGTAGGGGTCGTCAAAGCAGGCAGAGCAAGAAGGGCAAGGAGGGAGCAGATTTTGGGGCTCCAGGGAGATGCCATTTACTGGCTAACAATGGGGTTTGTCTCGATGGGGAAGCAAATGGAGCCAAGAGGACCCAGGTATCAGAGGAGACCAAGAGATTAGAGGTCAAGGTAGGGTACAAAAAGGAAAGTAGAGCAGGAAGAAGGAAGAAAGAGAGGTAGGTACGTCTGGATTGAAGAGAAATTCCAAGCCACAAAGCAAGCCAAGAACTGGCTATTATGGGGCTGTAATGGAGTGTACATGAAGGTCACCGGCAAGGAAGGCTTAATCATGGGGAGATGAAGACTGCCAAAAGTTATCAACATTGCAGCCTCAGATCTTGAAACTTCAGTCCCACTCTCAAGTCCTACAGTAGAAGCATGAAACTTTAGGACAACCTTGCAGAAAGAGATCAATCATAACCACCTCTGGGCAAGTTCCTCTTGCCTTCTCAATCCAAAGTGGCATCACCATATAAAAGGTTGTCAGAAAGGAGGCTGTATGAGCTCATGGTAGAGCACCCCAAAGACCTATGATTATTATTTCAAGTCCTGGTTTGCTACCATCTTGATGAGTCACATTCAACAAGTTTTTCCAGAGTAGGGAAAGAATTAAAGGTATTAATTAAGACTACCAGAACTACACAGAAAACTGAGGTGGCATGCTAACACCTGGGATTCCAAGGATGATGCAGCGGTGTCAGGGGGAGCAATGGAAGTGTGGAGCCTGGGTGTAGGCAGAGCTACACCGGAACCTCCCGTGAAGAAGCATGCTTCTTGGAGAGGAATGCCAATGGAAGATGCTAAGGAGCAAGAAGCAGAACACTATCACTCAGGATCCAGAGATGCCCAGGCCTGTGTTAACAGGGCTGGAGGCAGATGGGGCCACGATATGAAGGAAATTGGCACAGAACACGTAGGATTTTGCTTCCAAACTGCCAGATGCCAGCTCCAGCTTTCCATCTGCCTCTTCTCATTCTCTCCTTTAGTGTTTCACTGTTTACATGGTACACGTCCAAATACATTTGCTGAACTCACAGAGGGAAGCTGGCTTGGTGAAAAGGCCAGGGATCTCAGGCCCCGAACAGCCCAGAAATACAAGGTGCCTCCTCTCTGGCACTTGGAAAGTCAGAACTCACAGGTCGCTGTTGAGAGTCTAGGGCGATCTCAGAAAGATCCAGGACACCACAGGAAGGGATACACTTGTTACTGCAGAACATGTTGCAACCTCAGCTGCCCCAAATCCATCTCACAGCTGTTTCTTTTTGCTCCCTTCTTCCTTCCTGCCAGCATCCTTCAGTGCTACCATGTGATTCAGGGTTATCAATAGAGAAATATGAGACGTCCTCTATGAATTTAACAGAAAACTGGCCTCTATGGGCAATGCTATTCTAAAAACGAATGAGAAGAGGAGAAAAGGTAAAGACTAGAAGGAGATCTAGGAAGTACCAAATGCCCTGAGATCTAGCAGCCTTGGGCAGTTTCCTTAGAGTTACCTCTGCCAGGTCTACCAGAGACAGCAAGAGCCCTCCTCTTTCCCTTCAAGCTCCTGCCTTGATCGTCCCCCAACTTGAGCCAGAAGGAAGGCAAGCAGGGGCGGGCTACCCACAGAGAGGGGCGCTGGGGTCTCTGTGGGCATTCTGGCCATTCACATACAGAGTCATCACAGGTCTGGATGTGGTGAAAGGAGCAGAGAAACATGACAAGGGATACAGAGGCAGAAATCAGCTTTGCTTCCTTCAATTAGAGAAGGTCATGTCAGGAGGACTCCTTAAATTCAAGTGGCCAAAAATCAGCCCTAGTCCAAACTCCCATTCCCAGATCCACTCCCCTCCTTCCTTCCTGATCTCCAGTAGCCTCTCCTCACTCCCCTCCACCCACTCCCCCAGCCCAGTGAAACTCAAGCCCAACCACCTGTCCACTCAACATCCACCTAGGTCTGCAGGGAAGCCTGGTAGTAAAAGCCTGAGCCAGCACCACAGCAAAATGTTTCTTCTTGTCTTGAACTAGAAATCAGTGAATGATGTTCTTGACAACAAGGGGCCTCAGGACCACATTTAACCAGCACCCAAAAAGAAAAGCCATAACCAAAACCCAAGGAGAGAGAAAAGGAAGGCAAGATAAAAAGGAGGAGGAGAAGGAAGATTCCTAGCCCTCTAGCAGAAAAACAGATAAATAAAGGCTATTAGGAAATAAATAAAAGATACAGAAAGAGACATCAGCCTGGGCCTGGAATGATTTTTTTCTCTTGCTGTAGTAATGATCTGATTAGGGTTCAATCCTACTGCATTCTTCATGTCCTAACTCATCTTCACTGAGTCTAAACTGCCCAGGGAAGAAGGATGGCAGTCATGCAGGAGGCAGCTCCGATTAAGTCCCAGGCCCGATGAACTGAGGATTGCACATACCTCCTTGCACCTGAGGCCCGAGGACTCACTGCATCCCAGCGATGAGGGCAGAAGCGGGTGCTACTTTCCTCCTGACTGACTCTGCAGGGAGCAGCCTGGCTGGGAGGCCTCTCTTCACCTTGCCTGCTTCCTTCCTGAGCACAAGCTGCAGGTGGAGGGAGCCACAGTGCCTGCTGCCGAGATTTCAACCTGTCACTTCTGTTTGGGTTTCTCTTCCAGTGTGTCAGTCTCACTTGGCCAAGGCCAGAATACCAGGGAAGTTATATGGGCTGGCACAAGCTAATGCATCCAAGAGCAGCACCTTTATCTCTGAACAGCTACATCAGTGCTTCTGATACAGCTGAGATAAGGAAAAAGGAACAGATATTTATTGTGCACCTATTATGGTTAGGCAGCATACTGCTTGATTTTATGAACATAATTTCAATCTGAGCAGTGGGCCTAAGAGGTAAGACGTTATTATTCCCATTTTATAGCTAGGATCGCTGAGGGAGACTAAATAACATACTCCAAGTTACATAGCTTGAAAGCGCTGATGCTCCTTATGGGAGAATACTAGAGAAAATGGATTGACTACCTATGCTATAAAGGACCACAACTGTGCCAGAAGTAGGAATTAGCAGGCAGAGAATTTTTGTTTTTGTGTTTGCTCTTCTGAGGCCCCATACTCCTTGCCTCTGTCCAGCTTTTGAGTCCTCTTTTGGTGCCTTGGCTCTTAGTAGTTCCTGCCCTGGCAGAGTAACACAGTCCATGGAGAATCCTGGAAAGATTTCCAGGGTTCCAGGGTTCTCACAGACCCCAGGCAAAATCAAACATCTTTTTTTTTTTTTTTTTTTGAGATGGAGTCTTGCACTGTTGCCCTGACTGGAGTGCAGTGGTGTGATCTCGGCTCCCTGTAACCTCCGCCTCCCGGGTTCAAGGAATTCTCCTGCCTCAGCCTCCTGAGTAGCTGGGATTACAGGCACCGCCACCATGCCTGGCTAATTTTTTGTATTTTCAGTAGAGATGGGGTTTCACTATGTTGGTCAGACTGGTCTCGAACTCCTGACCTCATGATCCGACTGCCTCAGCCTCCCAAAGTGCTGGGATTACAGGCATAAGCTACCGCGCCTGGCCCCAAACATCCTTTTCATACTCCCCTCAGGGGCTCTCGGGAGTCCCAGAGCAGAGTGACGCAGACCAGCTCAGCTCAGGGCTGATTTTGGTTTTCTTTGAATCAATTACAGTGCAAGACACTGAAAGGCAACTAGCAATTTATTCCGGAGAGGGAGAGGTCTCACTCTTCCAAGTCTTTCATCAGGCTGAGGTTGCCCTTTTCTTCTTTCCGTTGTTGTTTTTCATTTTATTTCCTTCTTTATTTTTTAACTGCTTTGAGTCACATTTAAGCAAGACAGCCAAAAGCTCCAGGCCATCTAGAAATAAACACAGTTTATTCTTATTGTAACACAGTTAATGCACAATTTGATGAGACACCCTTGGTTTGAAGAATTCAGGGAAGTTGTACCAAGAGGGCAGAGGTATGATGGGCACTTGAAGGCTGAGAGGTTTGGCAACCTGGCTTTTGGGGGAGAGGCTAATAAGGACTGCCAGGCTGAGGAGCAAGAGAGGGAAAGCGGGCAGTGCTGGCTGGGCCACAGCAGGAAGCCATCATGGGCCAATCCGGAGTTATGCGTGTTCTTTTTCCTGGCAGCCCAGCATCAGCCCAGTCAAGACAGCTCACCTTCAGAGGAGAGAAAAACCAAGCATTTATTAAGCATCAACCATTAGTTTATTCAATCCTCACAACAATCTTAGAAGCCCATAGTTCCCATTTGACAGATGGGAAAAATGGGGCTCAGGTAGCTTGAGGGTCACGGAGTGGTGAGACAGGCTTTGCTCTCATGCCTGACAGATCCCAGAGCTATTAATAACATTGGTGTAAAGACACCTGCGGTTCTCAAAGCCTGGTTCTCAGACCAGCAGCATCAGCCTCACCTGGGATCTTGTTAAAAATGCACATTCTTGGGTTCCATCCTTCTCCCACAATTGGAAGAGAAACTCTGGGGCAGGGGCCCAGCGATCTGCCTGTTAACAAGCCCTCTGTGTAATGCTAATGTAGATTGTTCAAGAGCATTCAGCTGACTGGGAAGCATGGCCTAAAACAGTGATTCCCATAGTGTGAGCCCCAGGTCAGCAGCAGCAGCATCACCTGGAAACTGGTGAGAAAGTCAAGCTCCCAGCTTGTTACTGATATACTGAATCCAAGAGTCAGGGGTGGGGCCCAGAGGCGGGTGTTGTCACAAGCCTTTCAGGTGGCTCATAAGCATGCTCAAGCTGGACAACCATGGGCCAGTTTACATCCTGCCGCCCCTTCTTCCAGGAAGGGAGGGCAGTATAAGCAAAGAAAACCCAGAGTGCTTTCCTGTGGGCCATTAACAGCCACCCTTAGGCTGCCCAGGTACAAAATAATGGAGATTCTATAACTCATTAACAAGCTCCAGGAGTTAAATAGTTGAACTTGTTATCTTTGCCTGAAGGACAAAGAGAGAAGAAGGCAAGAGAGAAAATCTAAGGATGCAAGCCCTGGGGGAGGGTCCAGAGTGCTGCAACACCCCCCCGCCCCACCCCGCAGGGAAGAGGAAATAGAGAGGCTTGGTAGGATGGCAAGACAGGGGTGTTCATGGGGGAAGACTGAGAAAAAAGCATGTGTCTCCAATGGTTTGTTTTCTGTTTTTATTTCTTTGTTTGTTTCTTTGTTTCTGGTATTATGTATTCCAGAAGCAACCAGGCAGGAAGATGTGTGGCCTCAGGTAACTCACCAAATGGAAACTGATCTGTAGAAGAAATATACCAGACCAAGGGGGCTTGTCTCTGTCTCTCCGGAATATGCAGGTGCTACCAGCCCCTGATGAACACCGACCATGTGCCAAGCGCCATGGAGCAAGCTTAATGTACACCATTGGGTTTAGTTCTCACTGTAGCCCCCACTTCCCACTTCACAGAAGAGGAGACAGAGACTCAGAGGACTAAGTATTATACTCAAAGTCATACAGCTTGGAAATAAAAGCAGTGTCCTCTCTTGTCTTGCTGCCGGAAAGAACCAGGTGGCCTCTGGTCCAGCTCCATCCATTAGAATGATGAAGTGCATGGCACTGCCCAAAATGGTGGCCACTGGCCACATGTGGTTACTGAGCTCTTGAAATGTGGCTACTTCTTCTGAGAAGCTGGTTTTTAAGTTTTATTTCATTTTAGTTAATTTAAATTGCCCACACACGGCTAGCAGCCATCGTATTGGAGAGTGCAGCTCTAGACCACTGGTGAGTCCCTGTCTCTGACATCAGGCTGATCCTGTCCCCTGGATGACTCAAGCTCCGAGAGAAGTGGAGACAGGATTCTCACCCAGGCCCTAATCATGGAAAGAGCAACAAACACCCTTTGGCTTGGGTCACTCCCACCCAGCATCCTCTTGCTAGTAAATGATGACATCAATAGCCGTATATGATGTGGTTTTCCTGTGGCTCTGCCAAAGAAAATCTCTCTTTTCCTGGACCATCCCATTTCTACCATCAAACTAGAGAAATTCATCTTGATATACAGGTTCCTTGGGATTCGAATTGACAGACCTAGTCAGAAAGCAACGCCGGTCCTTAAATCGTGCTATCTTTAAGGCACAGTGCCAGAGCTCTCAGAACCTCCATTTTCCCATCTGTAAAATGGGAATAAAATAATCACCTATGATAGTTATTGGAATCAAGTGAGCTGATGTATGATGTAAGGGACTTTCTACATCTCCCGGCACCCTTTTCCCCTTACACCCAATTCCACTCCACGATTCCTGTCTGACCTGTAAGCTCCAGGGGGTTGTTCTAACTATTAATGGACTATAAGGCACCTCACATTTCCACCTTAAACAATATCTCCCCAAACTCCTTCTAGAATTAGTGTTGGAACCTACATGTAAACTGTACAGTGACCCTGCAGTGTGCATCCCTCAGCTGCCTGGATCAGCTGGGCCTCCCTGCCATGAACTTGACCACCCTGGCTCCTGCATGCTGGGCCTGAGCCAAGCCCACCCGAGGGCCTGAGCCACCATCCACAGGGTCAACAACTCTATCTGCATGACGTCAGCCCCTGTCTAGCCGGGAACTCAGCGAGGATGTCAAAAATCAAATTAATTTTGCCTTCACCAGTATGACTGTCAATAAAAAGTTATTATTCAGTCAGTAGATGTTTTAATTACCCAAATGTCAAGCACTGTCACCCTCCATTAGCAGCTTAACGGTCCTAATAGACAACGCCCTGAAAGGAACCTCAGGAGAATCCTGAGCCCCACTGTGTCCCTAAAGAGGACCCCAGCAGAGCCACTTCACCCTAACCATTCACATTCCCTTCTTATAAGTCTCCAAAGGAGAAGTCTCCCTTTTTTCTTTATGTTTGTTGTTGTTGTTGTTGTTGTTGCTGTATTTCTAAAAGTCTCTCTCTCGAAGAGCATCCATGTACCTCAAAATTCCCTCCACCCAGCTGCAATTTCTCTTGCTTCGGTTCCATGATGGTTATTTGCAACAACAGTAGATACTGTTTTGTAGGCCACAAAGTAGAGGGACCCTGAGCACCACTTGGTGGGGGCAGGGGGTGTCACATGAGAGTCCCAATTCTACTACTTGCTGACCATGTGCCTGGGGACAAATTATTCAGCTTCCTTGGGCTTCAGTTTCCTCACCTGCGAAATAAGGATAGTCATACGTACTTTCTATGAGATCATGTATGTGAAGCACTAAACTCAGAGCCTGGCACACACTCAGCTTTCAGCTTAGGCTAGACACTGGTTTTGATGGTGGTGGTGCTATTGTTGTAGATTTAGGAAGCATCACAGAGCATGTATTAGTCTGTTCTCATGCTGCTAATAAAGACATACCTGAGACTGCGTAATTTATAAAGAAAAAGAGGTTTAATGGACTCATAGTTCCACTTTGCTGGGGAGGCCTCACAATTATGGCAGAAGGCTAAGGTGGAAGCAAGATATGTTTTACATGGTGGCAGGTAAGAGGATGTGTGCAGGGGAACTGCCCTTTATAAAACCATCAGATCTCATGAGACTTATTCACTATCATAAGACCAGCACTGGAAAACCCACTCCCATGATTCAGTTACCTCCCACTGAGTCCCTCCCACAACATATGGGAATTATAGGAGCCACAATTCAAGATGAGATTTGGGTGGGGAGACAGCCAAACCATATCAGAGCAGATTAAGTGGGATTTCCTCTTTCAAGTCCTCTCCTGACCCCTCACTACATCATCCTCTAATCCCCTAGTGCACCAGATGAGGCTTCTTTCACTGCCTTCATTGATGGTTTCATTTATTCAAATAATATTTCAATGTAAACACCTACCACATGCCAAAAACTGCTCTCAGACAGGGGATACAAGAAGAAAATAGACAGGGAACTTGTCTTCACAGAGCATTAGGAGGGAGCTGATGACTTATCAAGTAAGTATACATATGTAAAAAAAAAAAAAAAAAAAGCACTTAAAGCTGTGACGAATGCAATGAAGGAAAAGTACAGTGTACTATGAGAGAAAGCACAAAGGGGGCCTAACATTATCCAGCAAGCAGGGAACCACAGGTTTTAAAACACTTTTGAGGCTGGGTGCAGTGGCTCATGCCTGCAATCTCAACACTTTGGGAATCCGAGGTGGGTGGATCACCTGAGGTCAGGAGTTTGAGACCAGCCTGGTGAACATGGTGAAACCCCCACCTCTACCAAAAATACAAAAAATTAGCCGGGTGCAGTGCCATGTGCCTGTAGTCCCAGTACTCGGGAGGCTGAGGCATGAGAATCGCTTGAACCTAGGAGGCGGAGGTTGCAACGAGCCGAGATCATGCCACTGCACTCCAGCCAGGGTGACAGAGCTAGACTCCATCAAATAAATAAATAAATAAAACATTTTTGAGGATGAAACTGCATTTCTCCAAGCAGATAAATGAAGGAATGGACAGTTGGATGGATATAAATATTTCTGCTCTACCTTCAGTTGCTAAACTTTCCCCTGGCTTCTGGCCCCTTCCTCCCATTCCTGCTCCCTTCACTGGGTTTTTGCCTTCACTTTCTCTGTTCTCAGCAACATCTTGACCCCAGACCAATGTTTTATCTTGAGTCACGAACTGCATGGCTCAGAAATGCTGCCTGGAATGCCATTTCTTCTCAAAAACCCTTACGTAGCCAACATTTTCCAGTCTGCCTTCCCAGCCCTGCCTCCCCCACCCTCGCCCTCACCCCAGAGTTGTCTCCACGCCTCCCCATGGGAGTTTAAAAATGGAAAGCCACGTGCAAATCAAAACCTTGAGAAACCCGGCACTTTGGAGAAGTAAGCACCTTCCTGGGAAGGTGGTTTATGCCTGAGTCATTTGTCTGGCTACATTAGACTCCAAGGCCTCAGGCAGGGGAACAACGACGACGTTATATCTCCTAGCCTGCTGAACACAGTAGGGGTACTCAACAAATCATAAATAATGACAAGGATGAGGCAGCAAGTGGGAAGACTGAGTGAAACACTCTAAAAACCTCCCTCCTGTACTTGGAGCTGTCACGGAGTTGGGATGTGGCCCCGTTTCCTGCCTGAGCCTCTAGGCAAGGAACTTTACCCTGTTTGTAAAATAACAGGTGGGTCTCCTTCCCAGACACACAACTTAGAAACACTGGCACCAATAACCACACAACACAGCCAACTGAGGACAGAGCAGTGTGGGCTGCAAAGACAGAATCTCACAGGAAATCTCGGATCATGTCCTAACAGGCCCCACAGGCCTCCTGGGCTACAGGGATCCAGCCAGCAGCTCCCATTGGTTTGAGAATGGCAGCAAAGACAGCAACCCCCTGCCCAGGGGCCATGCCTCTAAGAATAGAGGACAAACACATTCAGAGTTGGACAGAAGCTTGAATCTATAAGGTGTATACATCATGTCCTTGAACAGATGGGTCTCTTGACATCTCGGCACCTCCTCAGCTCTGTCCTCTTAGCATGGGCTCAGGGTCTGTTGCAATGTACACCCTATTGTATGTTCTGGGGGTAGAGGTACAGCAATACAGAAAGTCCCTGCTCTCAGGGAGCTTTGTCCTTATTGGCGAAGAAGCACATACCTCACATGGCACGTCCCAACAGGTGCTTCGATAATAGTAAAGTGGGGTTAAAGAAAAGTGGGGTCAGGCCTGGTGCGGTGGCTCACGCCTGTAATCCCGGCACTTCGGGAGGCCTAGGATCACTTGAAGTCAGGAGTTCAAAGACCAGCCTGGCCAACATGGCGAAACCCTGTCTCTACTAAAAATACAAAAATTAGCTGGACATGGTGGTGCACGCCTGTAATCTCAGCTACTCAGGAGGCTGACGCAGGAGAATCACTTGAACCCGGGAGGTGGAGGTTGCAGTGAGCCAAGATCGCACCATTGCACTCCAGCCTGGGCAACAGAGTGAGACTCCATCTCAAAGTTAAAAACAACAACAACAACAAAAGAAAAGTGAGGTAAGTGAAGGCCTCTGCCACCTTGTGACCTCAGAACTGGGACCTAAGCTCAGCAGGGGATGAACCATAAGGAGTCCTGGGGAAGCGACACTCCAGGCAGAGGGAGACACAGGGCAAAGGTCCTAAGGGAAGATGTTCTTCTATATCTGGGCAACAGCAAAAAGGCTGATGTGGCCAGAGTGGACGAGCACGGGGGAAAGTGGCAGGGGCTTAGGTCAGGAGGTGTGGGGCCTTTGGCTTTCCGCTGCATGCGATGGGGCACCCCAGTGGGTCTGAAGGACTGGAGGGAGCCTCACAGTGTGTTCTCAAAGGACCCCTCTGGCTGCTGGGTAGAGATGGGAGTGCAGGGAGCACAGGTGAACAGGTGAACATGGGGAGCCCAGTCGGTGGATGTGGTGTTGGCGGAGGGGTGGCGTTTGCGGGCAGCCTTCACAGCTGTGGAGCAAGAAGGGATGGTGGCAGGAACTAGGTGGTACTTGTGGAGGTGCTGGGAAATGGTTAGACTCGTGACACAGTTTGAAGTCAGAACAAAGAGACTGGGATTAGATGTGAAGTAAGAGAGTCATCAAAGACGATCAGCGTTTTGACAAGAGCTAGGCCAGCAGCTAGCACAGAGCAGGTCCTCACACACATTAGAGCTTTTCTCCCTTCCCCAGCGCACCTGCCATCAGTCACAGGTGCCAAGAAAGCGGACGGATATACCAGGATGCCCCTGCTTCCAGAAGTTTAGGAGGCAGACAAGTACAGAGAGGAATTGGGAAAAATGGTGGCAGAGCCTACCTCCCTGACAAATTCTGTCTCCAGGGCACTGGCAGGCACGTGCTCTCAGCTCATAGCTTAAAGGGAGAGCAGACTTGAGCATACAGCCAGCTGATAGGGGTTGATTAGTGGCAAGAGAATTCTAGAACAAAACCCTAAAGGGATTTAATTTTGTTTTTAATTACAAAAGCAACATGGATTTAGTGGACATGCCATTTGACTCCAAAATTCCACTTACATGAACTGACAAAAGTCTATGCAATAATTTAAGTAAAGGACAGTCATCAATACATTATGAATAAAAAATGGGAAACAATTTAAAATTCAAAGAAGTTTGCATTAAATCCCTAACTTGAAGATGGCGAAAGAAAAGCACGAAGAAAATAAAAATAAAAATCACCCATCATCTCCAAACCTAGAAATAACCCCAATTAAATGGCTGGCATATATCTTTCCAACTCTTTTTTTTCTATGCACCAATATGGATTTTTTGTTGTCAATATAAAATTAGGATTATATTAAATACAATCTGACTTTTTCTATGTAACAAATACCGTAAATATTTTTCATGTCTTTACATATTGTTCTACAACATATTTTAATGGTTTCATGGTGTTTCATTATTTGAATGAACCATGATTTACATAACAGATTTTGTATTGTTGGACATTTCAATCATTTCCAATTTTCCATCATTACAAATAGCACTTCAATACACAACCTTGTATGTGAACTTTTGTGGCCATCTCTGATTATTTCCTTAAGGTAAGTAACATGCCAAAACATGGAATTGCTCAGTCAAAGAGAATATCTTTTTTAAGGTTTTTGAAAAATACTGTCAAACAAGCCCTCTGGTAAAGTTGTACCAATTTAATTCCCTATAGCAGGGGAATGAGAGCCCCCTTTTCTCTATATCTAAACCATCATGTATTATTTTTGCCAATTTAATGGGGGAGAACAGAATCTTGTAACTGATTTAATTAATGTTTCTTTGATCCCTACTTAAGCTGAACAAATTTCCATATGTTTATTAGCCATTTTACTTTCTAATTCTGGGAATTGCCTGTTCCTGCTTTTTGTTTATCTTCTTCATGCTGATTTTTGAGAGCCCAAAGGCAACTGGCAATTTACAAGGAAAAGTTACTCCAAAAGCCACCCTGGGCCTGAGGACCAAACATCACTTACAGGAAGTCCCAGTAGGTTTGGCTAAACCCCACAGTGACGTGGCTCTTCCAATCTCATGGCCAAAGAGCCCCAGATTGGAAGGCAGGAGCAAAGACCCAGAGTCCAAACAACTGAGGCTGGTTAGTCCCTGGCCTGGTTTCATCAGAGGTGGAGAGCAGCAGGCAGGGGAAGCAAGCATGGTGCCAATGACCTCCATATGGAAGCAGTTTGCCATCTCCATTGGGAAGGAAGGAAAGTGGGCACACAGGTGCAACTGGCAGTGTTGGTCCAACCAGTCAAGGCCAAAAAAAATGACTTATGCCTCGAGAATGAAAGTGCCACTACATGGCAGCTTAAGTCTCTGAGAGTCACCATGCTCAGTTCCCCTGTCCTTGCACTAAGCGGAGAGAGGCTGGGATGAATTAGCTGGAAGGGGAATTCTTAAACAGAGCTGTGTATAGTTCACTTCTAGCACAGATTGGCAAAGGGCAGCTGCTTGGGTTGGAAAGAAAACTGTTTCCCAAAGCTTGTTGAAATCTCCCTCCTGCGTGAGTGTGCCTGGCCAGGCTGAGATTGAGGCCTCCATATATGGACCCTAGAAATGAGACAGAAAGCCTTAGGGCCTGGATCCAATGACCAGTACCTAGGCTCAGAAGGTGACAGAAGGATGGGGTGGAGTGGGACAGGTGGGATGTGTCCCACACCTGCTGGACAACCAGGACACCCCAAGTGCGCCCCTGCCACCACTCCCATCCAGGCCTCAGAACTATGCAAACTGCCGTCACATTTTGTCCAGGCCACATTCCTCAATCCCACTGACCGACCATGTTTCCCAACCAGAGCCCAGACATGCTAGCCCAACAAGTCTCATTCCATCTCTTCAAGCAAACTTCCAACTGCCTATGACAGGCATGGGCCCTTTCTGGAATCCTAGTGGGCTGGTCGTGGACACTCCATCCTCTGTGTGCCTCCAACACGCCCAGTCCCTCTGAATCGGAAAGGGTAGGAGGCAAGGGCTGTGTGGGCAGTGCCCCCTTCCTTCTGAGCCCCCAGAATCCTCTTCATGTCAAAATGGCGCAGAGAGGGGCAAAAGTGGTCTCTCCATAAATGGGGCTGAAGTACCTGAGACAGGGCTGGTTCCCATGCCCGCTTGTTCCTCCATATGGTAACAGCCCCCAACCTCCAGGGCCCTGCCAAACCCTCCCCAACCACCTTACTGTGCATTTCTCATGAGGCTGAGGCCATTCGATCAGAGCCCATTCAGGTGCACTCAACTCTGCTGTGGCCCTCTGTGTCACCAAAACCCTGCTTTGCTTTTTCTTTCCAAGGGCAACCCTTCTTATGCCTTGCTCCCCCTGGGCTCTGCCCTCATTCCTACAACAATCTCCAAGCTCAGACTCTAAAAGGTTCACCTCCAGCACTTTGGGAGGCTGAGGCAGGCAGATCACGAGGCCAGGAGATGGAGACCATCCTGACTAACACGGTGAAACCCCGTCCCTACTGAAAATACAAAAAAAATTAGCCAGGCGTGGTGGCGCACACCTGTAGTCCCAGCTACTTGGGAGGCTGAGGCAGGAGAATGGAGTGAACCCGGGAGGTGGAGCTTGCAGTGAGCCGAGATCGTGCCACTGCACTCCAGCCTGGGTGACAAAGTGAGACTCTGTCTCAAAAAAAAAAAAAAAAAAGAGGTTCACCTGACCATGGTGCCCCCAGACTTCAGCAGCGGGGAAGAAGAGAGAATGAATTTTTTACTTTTTAATGAACAGATCACATACATGCAATGAGTGCTGATCTGAAGTGTACAGCTCAGGAAGTTTTTGCATGTGTGTACACCTGTATCACCACCACCCAGATGAAAATGCAGAACGTTTCCAGTGTCCCAAGAAAGTTCTCTCATGCTCTCACCCAATCATTATCAGAAACAACTGCTATCTGACTTCCATCCACATTGATTAGTTTTGCTTATTTCTGAACTTCATATAAATGGAATCACATTGCATGTTCTCTCTTATGTCTGGCTTCTTTCACTCAACATAATGTCCATGAGACACTTATTAATTTTGCTGCTGGAGCTAAGAGCCAAAGAATGTAGTGATTCCTACTCTAGAATACTAATAGGCTTGCAGAGTGTGTTCCCAAGAGACCTACAGGTCCCACTAAGCCGGGAAGGAAACGGAATCGGGGTCTAACTGGGGCCGGGAGATGTTTACCCCTGATTTATCTGATTCAGCTCTTTATCTCTTTTACACAGGGGCTTCCACAAAGACTTCTCTTGCCCAAAAGGCTCTCAGGCAAAACAACAACACAGAGAAGCTTACTCAGGGTTTCTCCAAATATACAGTGTTTCTCTGCTCCTTGGTCAAAAATTAAGAGGGAAGGATAAAAACTTCAAGGCCAACATACTTTGGAATGTCTGGATGACTGCGGGTGGGAAAAACCAATCATCCCTTTGGTGTCCTTATTCCTACCAGGAGACTAAAAGACTTTGCAGCTCCCACCTTCTCCTGATTTCAAGAATAGTATCACAGAGATCTGCAACAGAAGTTACCAACCCTCCTCTCCACCCCTGCACGGTCCTCTGTTCCTGGCCACAGGAGAGAGGGGAGTGGTATTTCTTTTTTGGGAGGGAGACAGAGTCTCCCTCTTGTCACCCAGGCTGGAGTGCAACGGCCCAATCTCGGCTCACTGCAACCTCTGCCTCCCAGGTTCAAGCAATTCTCCTGCCTCAGCCTCTCTGGAGTAGCTGGGATTATAGGCACCCACCACCATGCCCAGCTAATTTTTCTATTTTTAGTAGGGACAAGGTTTTACCATTTGGCCAGGTTGTTCTCAAACTCCTGACCTCAAGTGATCCACCTGCCTCAGTCTCCCAAAGTGCTGGGATTATAGGCATGAGCCACCGCGCCCGGCCAGGAGTTTTCTAATAGCGTGTCTGAACCACACCAGATTATTTGTGTTGCCTGGAAGGGTTAAGACAGTATGGGCCAAGATGGGACAGTTCATAGTCAAGAAGGAGTGGGCAGTAATATCTCACATGTCATTGTGGCTCACATCAATTGCCTTCACCCCGCTGGCTCAAAGTCACTGCAAGAGTTAGATGTTGGCCTGTTCCCCCATTTGAAGGCACAGGGGAGATATATGAGGAACAATTCAATTAAAAGCAATTAAAAGGGCTTTAGGCTTGAGGAGTAAACAAGAAGGAACCTAAGACTTGTAGTAACTTCCTTGGCTCCAAGCCCTATTATCACGGTAGGGAAAGTTGGGGAGGGGAGGGGTGTAAGGCTTCTCCAGCAATCCCACAGCCTCCAATTCTGTCCCAGACCCTGGCAGAGACACACACGTTTTAACAAACACTCTTCCCCTAATTTTAAAGCCCCTGTGGATTGCAAGGAAAATTTAATCCATATGTCTCTGATTCATTTATACTTAACTCATCAACATGCTGTTTTGTAAGAGCCATTTCATGTCCAAGTGCCTTTTTTTTTTTTTTTAAGGTCTTAAAACTCTGGGGTTTTTTTCTTCGAAACAGGAAATCATACTGTGCCAAGAGAAAAGGAACTTGAGCGCTCAGGGGTTCAAACTGCGTTCAAAGCTCCTGCTTCCCCAGAGACCCCAACCAACTAAAAGGATGTCCCACTGCCCCCTCACTCCCCTGCACCCCAATGGGAGACACAGATGCTAAAAGCAGCCAAATCTGACCAGGAGAAGACTGGAGAAAGAAGCAGGGTTAGGCTAGTTCAGGGTAAAATTGTTCTCCTGTTCACAGCCAAGACTGAGCTCCTCAGAGCCCACTTAGGCCTGCAGGCTGCAGGAGGGAGAGGAGGCAAGCCAGGAGTTCCATTCTGCTTCATTGGAAGCAGCGTCTTCACTCAAAACAGAATGCTGCAAGCAGGTTCCTCTGGAAATGGCCCGAAGTCCCTGGTCTGAGCTCAACTGTGGACTCTGGCAAGGTCTCTGGAATGGCAGTGAACTTGGAAGGTCCAAGCCAGAGAGCTGGAAGAATGACCACTGCTCCAGCCTCACGTCTCCTTTCCCCCAACCCTCTCACCTTGTGAGTCTCCTCTGCAGCTGCACTGCACAAAGACGTCCCCCTGCCCTCCAGCCCAGTAGAGCTGAAGGTTACCAAGGGGACAGTAAATGAGTGCTCCATTTTCTTAAACCTCAGGGAAGGCTTCTCATGCAGGCAACTCTACAATGGGTGCACAGCTGAGCAGGACACACTGAGAGCCACTGTAAGCTCTGGTCAGCCTCTGGACAGCCACATCCTCCCTTTGACAAGGGGCATGTAGAACCATAGTATGTACATGCGCCCGCATGGGTGTTCACACAATCTGCATGTGCTGCACAGCTGGGATAACCTATATATCAGGGACTGATTTGACTGGTCCCTCAAGAGCAAGAAGAGAGTTTAGCATGAATTCTTAGGTTAACCAATTCCCAGGGTCAAAAGAGTAGAAAACAAGATAGCCAATGTCAAATAAAACAGAAACAGCCTGGGTGCAGCCAAGCAACCATGGTTAATAAAATCCCTGACCCACCTTTCTTCCTACGTTGAGAAACAGGCTGAAGTCAATAACCACTTAGATAAGGGATGGGTTTTCAGAGGCAGGAACACCATCACCCTTAGCCAGGAAACCATATTTTAGAGTAATAGATGGGATGATTGTTCAACTCATATTCATGCCCCTCCATGTCTCTGCCCCACTGACTCTGGGCTTGGCCCAGTGACTTGCTTTGGGCAATGAAATGCAAGGGAGGTGACAGTGACTGTTCCAAGCCAAGGTTTTAAGAGGTACAGACTGTTTCTGCTCATCAGCTTGCATGCCTACCATCTGCCATGAGAAGAATATGCTCTGCCCCTTCAGCCGGCACCCCAGAATGAGAAACATGGGGCACACCAGCACCTTACCGACTGCCTGGAGCCAAACTCAGCCAAGCACATCAGGAATCAGCCAAACCCAGCCAACCCACAGGCCTGGGCACAAGAAATAAATGCTTGTCAGAAAAGACTGAGTGGGGGGTGGTTTGTTACCCAGCAGTATGCAGTAATCGCTAACTAAGATACATTGCTTACAATTTCTAATAACCAGACTACAAATATGCATTGAGCCAGCCCTGCCTTCCACCTAAGACCTGCGCTGGCCAGTCTTGCCCTATAAAACTGGGCTTGATGACAGTCAAATCTCCTCGCCATGTGATTGTTCGTTTATTACTTCATTCCACAAACATCTATTAAATGCTGGCCAATAGGGATACAGAGATTAATGAGGACATGGCTAGGGCCTTGAGGAGCTAATAGGATATATGAGAAGCAGACACATAAAGAGAAAATGATAGTATGTGATACAGATGATGACAATGACAGAATGAGCCTAGGGCATCGAGGCATCACAGTCTAAGAGGCATATGTCACCAATGCATGGAGCAGAGTGCAGGAGCAGGACAAAGCTGATGAAGACTTCATAGGTAGGAGAGGTGTCCGATGCCTGGATCCTAAGACATAACCAGAACCGTTCTCTAGAGAGGACTCTGCCAAGAAACCACACCTTCCTACCTTTGGAACAGTTACCCAGTCTCACGACTGCAGATATTGCACATGACGCCTCCATTATTTGTTCAAGTGTTCAAAAATTTTTCATTGAGCACTTACTATATGCCCGATCTGCAATGTCCAACTCAGTAGCCACTAGCTACATGCAATTACTGTGTATTTGAAAAGTGGCTGGTCTAAGCTGAGATGTGCTGTAATTATAAAAACATGCTGGATTTCAAGGACCTACCATGAGCAAAAAAAAGATTTAAAACATCTCATTAATTTTTAAAATAACATGGTCAAATGATAGTATTTTAGATATATTGGGCTAAAATACATAATTAGAATTAATTTCACCTGTTTATTTTATTTTTTAAAAACATGGCTACTAGAAAACATCAAAGTATGTATGGGGCTCTCTCGTATTCTGATTAGACAGCACTGTGCCAGACTCTAGACCTAAATTTGGTTGCACATTAGAATCCCCTGGGGATCTTTTAAAAATTCTAAAGCCCAGGCTGCATCCCAGACCAATAAAATCAGAATGTCTAGCGACGGGCCCCATGCTTCAGTGCAGTTTGGAGTACGCAGGTGGTTTCAATGGGCAGACAAGTTCAGGAACGATTATTGTAGCAAGAGGGATCCTCTCCTAGCCTGGGGCAGTTGTGTGGTGGATGACCCTAGTTTTTCTCTTCACCTGGAAGTATGCAGCTCTCCACCCTCCATGCCTGAAGGAGGGAGCTTTTCAGTGGGCCAAGCCTAATTGAATAAAAGTCATGGCCTCCTTCTAGGCTCTGCCCTTCCAGGCTCTGTGATTTGACATCAGTTACTTAACCTCTCCATACCCAAGGGGACCCAGCTCAAAAACGGGTGCATCACTGCATTGGGTCACAGAGAGGTTTCCAGCAGTGGAACACACACACAACCTAAAATCATTTTGCTCACACAGTTTATCTAAATATTAACTAAGCGTGATGTGAGGCGAATATAACAATTAACGGTACACAGCAAGCTCCCCAGAAGCAAAGTGGGTACCCCAGGGAGTCATGAAACGCATGCGTGTGTGAAAGTGAGAACAGTACTGCAGAGTAAATAAGGTTCACAAGCTAAAGAGTGGAAGGTGGAGGGGCTCCATGGAGGACAATCTCCACTAGGTCTTTCTCCCTGCCCTGTCTTCTGCAAGCGGCCCTGGGGGAGTGTCCGGCAGGTCTCTCGGGAGGGGCTGCTGTCTAGGTCCCATCTCCCTTGCATTTTGCCCCCACTGTGCCCCTCTTGCTAGAGGAACCATCCCAGTAATAAATTTCCACTGTCACTCAGCCTCATGAATTCCGGTCCTTAGCCACAGAAAGCACTGTTGCAAGTGGGGACAGGAGGAAGAGAGTGTAGGCAGGAACATTACCTGTGAGAAAGCTCAGCAGATGCTGAGACCTTCCTCTTGGGATCAATGGGATGGGTGAGAGAGCTGAAGGAGGCACCATACATGGACTTATGAGGGCTTCCCACAAAGGGTCATACCTGCATCAGCACCAGAGCCCCAGAGATGTCACCATCTCGACAGTGGTGGCGATTTCACTGGCATATGCAACGTCACAACCTCAAATCATACTTTAAATACTTCCAGCTGGCTGGGTGTGGTGGCTCATGCCTGTAATCCCAGCACTTTGGGAGGTCGAGGTGGGTGGATCACCTGAGGTCAGAAGTTCAAGACCAGCCTGGCCAACATGGTGAAACCTCATCTCTACTAAAAAGTGCAAAAAATAAGTCAGGCATGGTGGCATGCCCTATTAATCCCAGCTACTAGGGAGGCTGACGTGGAAGAATTGCTTGAACCCAGGAGGTAGAGGCTGCAGTGAGCCAAGATCACGCCACTCCACTCCAGCCTGGGAAACACAGCAAGTTCCCACCTTAAATAAATAAGTAAATGAATACTTCCAGCTGATTGTGTGTAAATCAAGCCTCAATAAAGCTGTTAAAAAATATGTCAGTGCCAAGCTGTGAGATCTTGAATAAGTCATGAAACCTTCTGGGCCTCAGTTTCCCCACCTGTAAAATGGGTGCAATAAAAGTATCTACCCCAAGGAGTTGTTGAGAGAAAAGCCAGCAAGACTGAGTGGAGCTGGCGTGGAACTATCAGCTCCTATGTTTAACATAGTAATCATAATAGTTGTTGTTGCTATGAGTATTAGAATAATGTCATGAGGCAATAACTTCAGAGGCATGAGATGTTTTTGCTCATCCTTTTGCCCCTGCACTCTGCTATGAGGAAAACGTGGTCTTGTCCCTTCCACCTGGACACCAGAATGAGCAACAAGGAGCATGGGAATGGTAATAATATAGTATTCATAGTAATGATGTACAGCAATAATAGTAGTAATTGTAATAACATGTTGTAACAGTAATGTAATATATATAAGGTTAGTGTATATAATACTATGCATATACCAGCATATATATTACCATTATCATATAATACATAGTCATAGAAGTAATATGGTAATAATAATGGTAACAATTATTTTTAAAGCTGCAAGAGTGCAGAAGCTGTCAGACCAAATGTGGACTGTGAAGTGAATCAGCAGCCTATATGAGCTAGTATTTATAATTCAAGGGACTAGTGGGCATAGTTCCTATCTTGGAAGGCCCTATAGCTGGGAATGGTTAAGAATGAAGGTATTACACAGGGCTCATTCCTGGCTTCCCCGTTCTCCAGCTGTGTGACCCTGGGTAGGCTGCTTAACCTCTCTGACCTTCAGTGTCCCCAGGTATAAAATGGAACTAAAAATATTACTGCTCTTAGGTTCCTCTGAGGGTCCAGTGGGAATATGCACAATCTGTACTGAATATAGTTCCTGACACAGAGCTGATTAAAGAAAGCTGACTAGTTTCAACTCCTCAGCCATCATCATCATCTTCATCAAGGCCACCAAATCTGAGGCTACCTGGCCTTTGGCTGAGTGTGAGTTGAGTGACATCTAAGCTGTCCTTAGTGTGGTATGACGGGGGCGGTGGGGGAGAAGATAGATCTCCAAATCTCAAAACCGACATGCCTGCATTCAAATCCTGCCCTACCACTTCCTGGCTTTGTGCCTGGAGGCCAGTTACTCACCCTTCTTAAGCCTCGGCTCAGTTATCTGCAAAGTAATTTAATAACCAAGAGGCTTAAAAATGCATCTTATTTAACCCAACCATTCCATTTCTAGAAATATTACCCAGGGAAATAATCAGAGATGTACGTGGAGATTTATGCACAATGACATCCATCAGCACATTTAAAAAATAGTGAATAACTGGGAATAAGTAAAATGTCTAACATGGCAGATTAATTACAGTATAGTACGTCCAAGTGATGTAATACTGCACAACTATTAAAAAGCATGTTGTCAAAGACTATTTGAAGACATGGGGGAAATGTCTATGACATATTAATAAGTAGCAAAAGTAGTTTACAAACTAGCTGAGTCCCATTAGCCTTAGGGCACCTTGGATGAATTCCAGAAAGATGCTCCCCTTGCATGGACACAGCCTCCTGACCCTCCTTCCAGCCTTGACTCTGTACTCTTGAGCAGGGCACAACCTGTGCTACTGGACCCAGCAGTCCTTCCTGCTTCCACCCTGGCCCCCTGTGGCTCATTTCCCATGAAGCAGCCAGAGTGGCCCCTTCTAAAATACAGGTCTGCTCATGCCCTCCCCTGCGTTACACCCTCCACAGTCTCCCCACCTGCTTAAATGGCTGCCAGGGTCTTTGCCATAGCCTAGAAGACCCTATGTGGCCTGGCCCTGCATAAACTCACTGGCTTAATCTGCTATTACCCCTGCACCACCGGTCCAGCCACACTGTCCTCCAGGCTGCTCTTTGAACATGCCAGCACAGTTCCATCTCAGGGCCTTTGCACTAGCAGCTCCCTCTGCCAGGAACTCTCTTCCCCGAGATGTCTGTGAAGCCCTCCCCTCTCTGCTCGGCTTGCACTCATTCAAGTAGATTTCCCATCCCAAAGACCTCCCAGCCCTCTCCACCAGCCTGTGCCCTCTTATCTTCAGTCTTCTCCATCTTAGCACTTATCACTACCTGCCATGTTATAGGTTCATTTGTTTGTTTATTGTTTGTCTCTCCTGCTCCCCACCTCGGTCCCCACCAGAATGTAAGCTTCACAAAAGCAGGGACTGTTTTATTTATTGCCAAATCCCGGTATGTAAGCCAGTACTTGGTGCCCAGTGCACGCTCAAAAATGCTGAAGAAAGGAAGGAAGGAGAAAAGGAATGAAGGAAGGGAGGAAGGGAGAAAGGACAGCGTGCCCTAGGCAACGTAGATAAGCATTCTCCTATAAATATATACAAAAAGGAGAAAGAGTGAGATCTCAGAATCTCCCTATGGGATAATCACTTGGCAACCCTGGTAGGAAATCCTTAATGCAAATTCAGCCAGAGTCATTCCTCCTCCAGAAATGACCGTGACAGCTGCTGTCTCTCCAGCCACTCCCTGGGGTGTCATGTCAAACAGATAACAAGTTCACAATGCCAACCTGCCAGTAACTTCTAAGACACAACTTTGCATTTCATCTTCACCTCCTCCTCCCTCAATCCTCCTTACCCCACAACCCCTGACCCACTCTTAATCTCACCATATCCTTCTGCCCAGGGGCCGAACCCTGGCTGCTCCTTCCTATTTCCCCCACCCAGGCAGCAAGCAACTGGCCTTCAGCCCTAAATGTGAAAAAAAAAGCACGGTTTCCAGGACAACTTGGATGCAGCCCTCTTGCCTGCGCCTCTGGGAACCTGGTGCACGGCCATGCGTGCTCAAGCCATCTGACCAAGACTCTCACCTTCAAAAAAAAGAACAGCCAATACTCATCTTAGGAGAGTTGCTGATTTCTAAATCTAATCCCTGTAACTCCTGTGTGAACCCTGGGCCCCAGAGGAAAGTCAGGGGCTAGGGGAGTGGAGCGGCTGACCTCTCCTTAGATGTCTGCCCTCTGAAAGAGGAGCCATGCTAAATTGGGAACCCGTTTTACTACCTGCAGCTTATCTTTACTGATGAAAGGGGAAAAAGGTTAGACCTTTTGTTAACGGATGCCAAAAGAAACTTGGGAAAGACCAGCAAAAATGCTGGGAATTAGGGCAGATTCTCTTAAAGCTGGGGAAGGAATTAGCAGGAATGGCAAATGTATGTCATGTCAAAGGTCAACCCTGATCAACTGGTAGTGGTAATACTGTTTCCCATATCCAATAACATAAAAATTAAATGACAGTTCAAAAATACAAAACTCATACTACTTTTACCTTCACTTATCGTTTCCTCTGCTCTCCTCTTACCCATTGATCAAATGGCAGTGGACAACCAAATGACTGTGTTGAGAAGTATTCTGTGCCTGATTTCAAGCCTAACAGTGCCATGATCAATTAGTGATGTCTGCTGTACGCACAAGGGTAGGGAGATCACACACATGAATTAGTGATATCTGCCATGGGCACAAGGGTAGGGAGATCACTCACATCAATTAGTGATGTCTGTCATGGGCACAAGAGTAGGGAGATCACACACATCAATTAGTGATGTCTGCCATGGACACAAGGGTGGGAGATGACACACATCTGACCCATATTTGTCGACCTGAGGGAAGCGGTAAATGTTCCTTGGTCATGGCTCTCAGACACTTTTTATCTCCATGACTCACCTGCCAGCCTAGTGTCCCCAAGATTATGAGCAATTCCTGTGTGCTATCTAAAACTCCACCCCTTTCTGCCCTACTCAAGAACACATATCAGAATGCAAGTTAGCAAAACCACCATGAATCTGCCCCAATCTATTAAAAGAAGTAAATCTTCTGCAAAAGGCAGCATTTTAATATTGGTAACAAATTACTTGCAACCCATCTCACAGTAGATCACACATCACAACAAGGCAAATGAGAACCATGGCTCTGAAGCCCACTTCTGCCTTACATAGGTGCAGCAGCACCAAAGCACAGGTTCTTGAGCAGCTTGTTTCTACTTTGCCTGCAGCTTAGTCTCAGCCTCAAGCTTCTCAACAACCTGGCAACTCCCCCAGCAATCAGAGCTGGCACATCAGATGAAATATGATGGCTATCTCAGCCGCTCAGTGTCATTCTTGGAGGGCTGGGCCACGTCTCTAGTCACTGAAGCTCCTTAACTTATATCATCATCAAGGCTCCGACTGCATGGCCACAAAAGTCAGGCCCTATTATCAGACCTGCTGCCTTTGATCATTAATCCTGAAACATACAAGCAACTGCTGCACCTTTGGCAGGTGAGAGCCCATACACAGGACCAGAGCTTGGTTAAATCTCTGGTAGGTTGCATTCCCACCCCCTGGCATCTATAGGTACCCATGGTGTTGACTCTCTCAGAAAAATGTGGCCACAAGCCAGACTGGCCAGAGGTTTGTCCCAATAGTATGAAGGTGTGTCCATTTCTTATGGCTGCTGTAACAAATTCCCACAAACTCAGTGGCTTATTCTCTCACAGTTCTGCAGGCACAAGGTTGGCAATCAGTATTGCTGTTCTGAAATCAAGGCATCAGTAGGGCTGCACTCCCTCTGGAGGCTCTGGGTAGAGTCTGCTCCTTGTCTGTTTCAGCTTCTTTCTAGCAGCTGATGGCATTCCTTGGCTTGTGGCTACATCACTCCAATCTTCAAGGCCAGCACCTTCAAATCCCTGCATCTCTGTCTCACTGCCTTCTCTGTGCATGTTCAAATCACCCTCTGCCTCTCCCTTACAAAAATGCACATTCTTGCCTTCAGGACCTACCTGGATAATCCAGGATAATCTCCCCAAATCAAGATCCTTAACTTAATCACATCTACAAAGACCCTTTCCCTGTACAAGATGACATATACAGGTTCAGGGATTAGGACCTGATTTTTTGTTTCTGGTTTTTTTTTTTTTGGCTTTGGGGTTTTTTTTGTTTTTTTTGTTTTTTTTTTTTTGTTGGGGAGACAACCTTATTCTGCCTACCACAGAAGGTAAAACCAAGTGTCATTTTTACCTCAACGTAAACATGAATTTTTTTCCCTTAATAAGGAATCTCAAACATATGGAGAAGTGTTTTCTGGCAAAGAGGAACTTCAATTTGGATCACAAAATCAAACATCTATTCTTCCTCTGGAAAATGCCAATTCTGTCTGCAGGGAGTGGGAAAAAAAGGGAGGGGGGAAGGAAGAAAGGAAGGGATGATATTCTCCTATAACCACCAGTTTCAATCTTAGGGTAGCATGATTAGAAAGCAGGAAGGGGAGGATTTGAAAGGAACATTTACAGTAGACCTGCTATGTGCCAGGCAGCCTTGCTCACTTACTCTTCTTCTCATGCTTATGGATGGGTGTCAGTTTCTCTCCTTAACAGATGAGGAAACCCATTCCAGACCACACAGCTCATAAATGGCAGTCAGGATTTAAATAGACAGGCTCTGTCTTCATCTCAAAGTCATGTTATTTCTGCCATAGCATACCTGTCTCCAATGATGCACCTGATCATTGTTATGAAGAACATGTGGTCTGATCCCTGAATCAGCAGTGCAAACCCAACAGCATGGGCATAATCTGCCATGAGCACTATGGACCAGAAGACAGGGTTCTTTCTTTGGACTCAGTAAGGATTCCTTTAACACTCTCTGTGGGCCTCAAGCAGGGGTTGTAACACTCTCTGTGGGCCTCAAGCGGGGGGGTTGCTATAAAGTTAATATTAATCATATTAGCTTTCTACTTATCTTGTACATGTTGTTATCAATTATTGACTGTCTCAACAGCACGAGGTGGTATTGCCTTCCCCAATCCTATGGGAAACTGAGGCTTGGGGAGGGCAAACAGCCTCAGCAAGGTCACCTGTGTGGTGGTGCCAGGATTTGACCTAAACCCTCCCTAATTCCAAATCCCATAATACAAACAGGGGATGCACTCTCACTCCTCCCCAAGCACACTGTGTGGCTCCTTGGCAAGTCTTTAAAAAGCCAGTGGAAGGGGCTCTTCTTGCTGCAGCCTTTGGAAGAAGTGGGCTGCAGGAAGGGGCTTAAGAATAAAAAGAAGTCGGCCGGGCGCGGTGGCTCACGCCTGTAATCCCAGCACTTTGGGAGGCTGAGGCGGGTGGATCATGAGGTCAGGAGATCGAGACCATCCTGGCTAACAAGGTGAAACCCCATCTCTACTAAAAATACAAAAAAAAATTAGCCGGGCGCGGTGGCGGGCGCCTGTAGTCCCAGCTACTCAGGAGGCTGAGGCAGGAGAATGGCGTGAACCCGGGAAGCGGAGCTTGCAGTGAGCCGAGATTGCGCCACTGCAGTCCGCAGTCCCGACTGGGCGACAGAGCGAGACTCCGTCTCAAAAAAAAAAAAAAAAAAAAAAAAAAAGAATAAAAAGAAGTCTGCCAGCAGCGTCCCCAAAGCAGACCCCTCCCACCCTCCAGAGACAGCTGAGAAGGAAGAATGAGATCATACTCATGAAACTCATGAAATACTCAGCCTTCTTGGGAAGAAGGATGACATGTAGAATGTGAGCCTGGGCTTTCTCCTAGGGCTGGGCCATGCACAGATTTGCAAGCCATGGCCTGGGGACCATCTGATGTCTACAGCCCTAGCTGACTGAGCAAGGCCCCAGTGCCCTGCAGACGTGAATGTCCCTCCTTAAACACTTGATTTACTCCCAGGGAATGACTTAGACAGTGGGAAGAATATGGCTCAGTGTTTCCTGTTGCTGTCAATTATTATTATTGCTTAAATTAAGCTGTTTTAACTCCATCGTAACAGACTGAATCTGATTGGCCAAATGTTTATTAGAGAATTATTAGTAGAAATTGAACAGCTAACTGAGGATGGAAGTCTCACAGATCTTGTTTAGACAAGCAATGGCTTCCAATACCCATTACCTGGGAGCTGTGGCTATGGCCAAATTGATGGCACTCTGGCGGACACCACAACACCTGTGATCGTGAGCCCAGACTCTGCCTTGGCAGCAATGACATTCAATCACTGCAAGAAGGAAGAGTGAGAACAGCTTGTGTTCTCTAGGGGTTGACTGCCTTCAAGTCAATGGTCCCATGTGAGAATTTAATAGTCTTCTCAGAATATGCCCTGGTTGGAAAGCCACATAAAGAAATGGCTGCTATTTGGAGAAAATGTCTCAACAAAGATGGCTTTAGCCCACTCTATTCTCACCAAGAGATATATCTGACCAAGTACATTGCAGAAATCAAAGGACTGAGCCAAAGCTTTCTGAACTGGATGACCCAACCCTTCCTAGAGTTTCTGGGGCTGATCAGCGATGAGTGGTCTCCATTGAACCATGGCTCACTTACAGGGTGTCAATGTTGTCAATGGCATTTTTGGGAAACCTGCTTGGAGTCAGAAGGAGGAAAGCAGGGTTTGTATAACTCTCAGTCCACTTTCAGACCTGCTTGCTATCCTCCACAATTAACTGCAGGTCAACATCAAATCTGCAAATATAAACTCCAAAAAATATAATAAATTAACCAGAGCAAGAAAACCAGTTGAATCCAAATAAATAGGTGCATAACCCTCCCCAGGTTTAGAAGGTTTGAGGAGTACCTTTAGGTCTAAAGATTGAGCACCAGTAATTTGGAGGATGAGGTAGGGCGTAAAGGTGAAGCTTGGATACTCCAATTGAAATGATTATACAGCCACAAGAAGTTGCAAAAATAGTACAGAAAGGTCCCATGTACCTATGCCCCAGCTTATCTGAGTGGTAACATCTTACATAACCATAACACATTATCAAAACCAGGAAATCAGCCCAATTTTACTCAGATTTCACCAGAAAGCCCAATCTCCTTCTGCAGTGGTCATTTGTCCATTTTTAGCAGCCCAGCATTCATTCCCTAACAGCGATTTGATTTTCTATCAAGGAATTATCTTTCTTCTATTGTGTGTAGTATAAATGGGAAAATAATTTTAGGTGGTGACCTCTAAAAGGAAGCCAAAGTGACTTTGCTCCCCATTTCCTTCCCCAGAACAAACAGAGGGAGGGAACACAGGGCATCCTAATCATGCTGTTCTCCGAGATGCTAACTGTCCTGCCAGTTTATTCCAGCATGGGACAAAATCTTATTCTCTCCCATCCCCAATCCTGACCAGCCCTCTCCTCCAGGCCTTATTACATCCAGAGAGCCCCCAGCATCCCTCCATCATTTACATTTTGCCTGGTTAGCCAGAATCAGTTTCTGTGGCTTATATAAAAGAATATGGACTGAATCACCCACGATGACTATCAACCAAGGATGACCTGGTTGGGAAAAGCCCCACTGGAGAAGACCCTACTTCACCATGACACAGGCCCAGAGGCAGGTGCTGCTGAGGCCCCACTCATATCCCTGGCCCACCTGAGTCTCCTGGCAAAGACAGCAGGCAGTTCAGCCCCCAAACTACACCCACCTCAAGAGCCTGCATCCTTTTTCTTTGCCTAAGGACTTTCTCCAGCACAGTAAGAGCAAGCTTGGCCTTAAGCAGGTACAACCCAGAAGTGTGGGGTAATTAATACCACTGGAACAACCCATAACTAATTAATGGAGGACAGGAGTCACTAAATACATGTTCCAGTCCCTGCATCTGCAGTGGAGAGCAACTTTGAGGCAGGTGCCACCCAGTTTCTCAGACGGTCCCCAGCAGGACTAAGCTCCAGTTACCCACTGCAGCAATCCACTCACTGTCACGCTCTTTCTTGACTTTATCATCTCCCTTTCATATTGCCCGCTTGCTCCCTAATGCATCCTGGAATCACCTCCCAAATAAATTACCTGCACATCAAGTCCTTATCTCAGAGTTGACTTTTGGAGAACCAAAACTAAGATTGAAAAGCAAAGAAGGATTTGACAGCCTTTCTAAACAAAAGAAGAGAGTCTGGTAGTGCTTTAGGCTTATGGCTCAAAGCTGTGCTATCCACAACAGTGGTCACTAACCACATGTGGCCACTGAGCACCTGAGACTTGGCTAGTGACACAGGCTGACATGATAGCATCTCTGATATATTGGGCTAAATAAAATATAGTATTACAATCAATTTCACCTATGTCTTTTTATTATTAACATGTCTACTAGAAAATTTAACGTTACATCCTTGGCTGGAATATATTTCTATTGAACAGTGCTGGTTAAAGAGGTGTGTCAGAGAACAGTTGGGATATTATTGCTACTATCATTAATGCTGTTAGCATGACAAATGTACCAGAGGACTATGAAGAGTGTGATTATGTATATGTCTACCTGAGTAACTCCTAGAGTGACAGGAACGCACTGATAAGAACTATTTTTACACAGTACAAGAAGAGGAATGGGAAGAGATAGTCTCATACACTGATAGAGGCTTTGTTGATTGGTCAAACTCTTCTCTAACACACTTTAGCAACATGTTTATCCTCACGCTTAATATAGTAATTCCACCACCAGGAATCTAAGGTATAGGATAATCCTAACTAAGGAAAACATACATACAAAGATGTTCACCTCATTGTTACTGATAATAGTATTTGTAACTTAAGTGACCAATAAACGGGGAATGATTAAATTTAAAAAGACAGATTTACTTGGATTGAAAAGCACGCAATCTTTAAAAACGATGGTTATAATGATTACATAATAATATGGAGACTATTTATGATATACTATGTGAAAGTAAAGACACAAAATTGCATCTACAGCATGATAAATATGTAACAAGGACTAGAAGGAAAGGTGCCAAGATGTAAACAGTGTTTATTTTGGGGTGCTAGCACAAGGGTGATTTACTGTTTTTCTCTATTTCCCAAGTTAGTTTCATGGACATTTGCTACTTCGGTAACAGAGAACCAAGAAAACGACTATCTTCTTTAAAAAATGTGAACTGCTAAAAGTGTGTACTTTTTGCAAAGGATGTTTTATTCTACAGTGTCCTTCCATTTTGCCAAATTTATGTTATAAAAATCTATCTTTTCCTCTGACAAAAAGAAACAAAGGTAAATCTAGTTCAAGCTGCTACTGAAAGGATAAGGCCAATAGGAAAAGCACTGTTTATAAGCAGCAAGTGGACTTTGAGCACGGAAGAGCAACCGGGGTTTATAAAGAGTAAATCACACCCCACCACGGAAGTGATATCTTTTCTTAATTGGCAAAAACGAGCGAGTGGCCAAGGAAAAGGGAGGCAAGGTGAGAGAGTGGGATTTCAGAGAATCTGTTGACGTAGCATCTACCAAAATCTCCCTTGGAAAATTAATCCAAATTGGCTGGACTACGCATGCCATCAGCTCCCAACATTAACAAGGATCATAAGCTTTATTTACAAGGGCTTATCTTTCAAGCCACTCGTGGAGCTTCAGCAAGCCTCGCGCATGAGACATTAAGGCGCTTGGACAAGGATAACAGCAACCTGGGTGGGATGGAAATACTCACCAGGAGACGGTAAACAACAGAACTTATGATAAAATGCAGTTTCTTTTCTTGAGCAGAGGGCCCCAGATAGCGGGCCAGCTATGGCGAGGTTGGAGTGAGGCCTAGAGAACGTGTTAACATCTTTATTAACAATCTGGAAGAAGATGTAAACAGAACATTAATTCACAAGGAATAAATCCGCAGGGGCCAGAAGACTAGAGGAATTACAGAAAAGGATGGGGAGGAGCAAAACCAAGAGGAAAGGAACATGGGAGAGATGGAGTGTGAAAGACAGGCATTCATCTTGGGCCCAAAATCAAGGGAGCTGCTCAGAAACTCAGTAATCAAGAGAGATAATACTGTAATGTGATATGCTATGAAAACAAAATTAATGCAAAAAATCTGTAGGTTTAAAAAAGTCTTGATTACTGGGGTTTTTAATTTGTGGCACCCTCTTAAATTTTTTGCCCAAAGCGAAGGGCTCATATACCTCACCTTAATCTTGCAAAGGTGGTAGGGGTGATGAACGACAAGATGTAACAGCCAAGGCCACCTGGAGAGCACAGGGCTGAAAGAGCATTGTAGTGGGTGGTGTGTAAGCCTTGGTTTTTCCAGAATAGAGGCTGAAGATCATCCAGGAGGCTGTGAGAGGCTCCAGGGAGGTGACCGGTACAGTGTATTGGGCAGCTTATTAGTAGAAAGATGGCAGCAACTTGGAAGGAATTCACAGAACCAGGGAAAGCCGTCAAAATGTGGAGCACGACTGACTTTGGAAGGGAAAAGGAAAACATGGTCCAGCTGATGAAAAGAAAAAAGATGATTTGGAGAAGGAACATGGAAGAGAGAAGGTGCTTTGGCTACAGTACCTGCTAAAAGCTAAAAAAGTCTCTCATCAAGAGAGGCTGGACAAGGGGAAATGACTGCAAAGACGTGTATTATGAACAGGAACATGGATTCAAAATTTAGATCCTTCATTTTACTGACTGATCTCATCCCTTAGTTGGCCAGGTATTCCCTGAAACTCTTAATGATTCATGAAACAAAGAGGCTAGAACTTAAGTCCATAAAAGTGCAAAATGCCACAGCAGTAGGAACATGGCATCGGGAGCTAAGAGCCTGGGTGCTAGCCGGGTCTGCCACAATCAAAACTGTCCTCAGAGAAGTCACTTGATCTCTCTGAGTCTCCAATTCTGCATCCAAAAGCAGGGGTGGGGGAAACTTAAAAGCAACTGTCTTTTATTCTATGACCACATTGACTTAATAGTTACTAAGTGCTCACATGAACAAAAAACAAACATTAAAACTGGAAATTGAACGCTATGGTGGGGCGGTTCACATAGTTAGAGATAACCGACAGCATGGACTAGCCCCACACACATCTACTGAAAAGGCTTCAGGATTTGGGGAGGGGGACATGGAGTTGACAAGGATACTTTGCACCTTCTCTGGCCTTTTGAGGACTCTACGGTTAAAAGTTAACTCCAAGGGCAGCAATGGACAGACAAAGCTTAAACTACAGATTGTTTAAGCTTGTTTAATTAAGCTTGAATTACTCTTCCAGTGATGAGGATAAAGGTTTCCCCATCAAATTCCTTGAAGCTCACTCCTCACTCCTGTGTTCCCTAAAACCCCCATGTGCTGGCCCCAGTGCTGGCCACCTTTCAGATATAAGCTTTCCTAAGATTCTGTTGTGAAAGGGAGACACACACAGCAAAGAAGCAAAATGAGAATCAAGCTCTGCTCCAAAGAACAATGCAAGAGGCTTCGGTGCTATTACAAGTGTGTTATAACCAAACAGCCAAAAGGACTGATCCTCCCAACACCCCTGTTCTCCACAGGGCTCCCATCTGGAGAGCCATATGCAGAAAATACTGGCTGGGGGGAACCAAGTATTACATAGTTAACAACTGAGCTGGCAGCCAGCAACTCCCAGTAGTGAGCTGGTAAACCTCAGATGGCGGAAACAGAGTTTACCATTCCATCTTCTGTGAATTCAAGCAAGCCTCAGCTAATTTACCCACCTGATAGCAGACAGCAGTGCAGAGAACAAAAAGAGACATGCAGCCAGGATGTCACAGAAGAAGGGCATAAGAAAAAGTATACTGCATGGGTACTGACCTTTCAGGCAAAGGAAACCTGCCCACTTGAAAACATGACCCTCTGAGTGAATGCCTGGGGCTCTGTCCCATCAAATTATAAACTCCTCCTACCTTAAAAATCTGATCTTTGACAAACCTGACAAAAACAAGAAATGGGGAAACGATTCCCTATTTAATAAATGGTGCTGGGAAAACTGGCTAGCCATATGTAGAAAGCTGAAACTGGATCCCTTCCTTACACCTTATACAAAAATTAATTCAAGTTGGATTAAAGACTTAAATGTTAGACCTAAAACCATTAAAACCCTAGAAAAAAACCTAGGCAATACCAGTCAGGACATAGGCACGGGCAAGGACTTCATGTCTAAAACACCAAAAGCAATTGCAACAAAAGCCAAAATTGACAAATGGGATCTAATTAAACTAAAGAGCTGCTGCACAGCAAAAGAAACTACCATCAGAGTGAACAGGCAACTTACAGAATGGGAGAAAATTTTTGCAATCTACTCATCTGACAAAGGGCTAATATCCAGAATCTATAATGAACTCAAACAAATTTACAAGAAAAAAACAAACAACCCCATCAAAAAGTGGGCGAAGGATATGAATAGACACTTCTCAAAAGAAGACATTTATGCAACCAAAAGACACATGAAAAAATGCTCATCATCACTGGCCATCAGAGAAATGCAAATCAAAACCACAATGAGATGCCATCTCACACCAGTTAGAATGGTGATCATTAAAAAGTCAGGAAACAACAGGTGCTGGAAAGGATGTGGAGAAATAGGAACACTTTTACACTGTTGGTGGGACTGTAAACTAGTTCAACCATTGTGGAAGTCAGTGTGGCGATTCCTCAGGAATCTAGAACTAGAAATACCATTTGACCCAGCCATCCCATTACTGGGTATATACCCAAAGGATTATAAATCATGCTGCTATAAAGACACATGCACTCGTATGTTTATCGCGGCACTATTCACAATAGCAAAGACTTGCAACCAACCCAAATGTCCAACAATGATAGACTGGATTAAGAAAATGTGGCACATATACATCATGGAATACTATGCAGCCATAAAAAATGATGAGTTCGTGTCCTTTGTAGGAACATGGATGAAACTGGAAACCATCATTCTCAGCAAACTATCACAAGGACAAAAAACCAAACACCACATGTTCTCACTCATAGGTGGGAATTGAACAATGAGAACACATGGACACAGGAAGGGAACATCACACACCAGGGACTGTTGTGGGGTGGGGGGAGTGGGGAAGGATAGCATTAGAAGATTTACCTAATGCTAAATGACGAGTTAATGGGTGCAGCACACCAAATGGCACATGTATACATATGTAACAAACCTGCACGTTGTACACATGTACCCTAAAACTTAAAGTATAATAATAATAAAATAAAATAAAAAAATAAAATAGGCTGAAAAGAGGAAGCGGAAATGGGGTATCCCCAACCACCAGAACCACAAGGACCTGCCCAGAACCACAGTGACCTCTGCCCCTGCTTCAGGCCAGCATCTCCCCTGGTCCTATGCAACAGCATTATAGATGGTACAGGAAGAAGATGCTGACAGAAGAAGCAAGAGATGGTTCTTGATGATGTCCCCAGCATAAGAGGCATTCTAGAAGGTGCTTCTAATTCTTCATGAATTGCTAGATTTGAATTAAGCATATTTTTGGTATATTTAGTTATACCAAAAAAACACAATCTTTCTATACTTAGGCCACCTGGAAAGGACAAAAGAAAAAGAAACTTGCAGGAATGGTTAATGTGTGCAAAAACATAGAAGGAATAAGACCTAGTGTTCAGTAGACACAATAGGATGTCTACAGTTAACAATAATTTATTACCTGTTTCAAAATCACTAAAAGAGTGGAACTGGAATGTTCCTAACACAAAGAAATGATAAATGGTTGAGTCGATGGATATCCCAGTTACCCTGATTTGATTATTACATATTACGTGCTTGTATCAAAATTTCACATGTACCCCATAAGTATGTACAACTATTATATATCCATGATAATTAAAAAAAGACACAGGGAAGGAAGAATTGGCTTGAAGATTCCCAAAAGAATGTGCCATCCCCCTCCGAAATCTCCCCAAGAAGATTCTACCATAGCTGAATTTCAATTAGCATCCTCTAATCAACTAAGAAATGCTCCAACTCTACCAAGAGGATCACCTTCCAGAATCCGACCACCCTTCAAGGCCTGTCTCTATTAGCTCAAAAGGCCTGTTGCACAAAGGTATAACCACCCTCCAGTCAGAGTTGATGAAGGCGTTTTGATGGTCCCTGCCATATGACTCACAGCCTTTGGTAGTAATACGAAAAACAGCCTAATAGAAAGTACCTACTGGGCACAGAATAAGAACTACATGGATGTCAATACATTAATCCTTACAATAACCTGTGTTACAGATATTATAACTCCATTTTATGCATGACGAACGTAGGCTCAAGGAGGTTAGGCAAGGATGGTTAGTTTTATGTGTCAACTTGGCTAGATGGTAGGACTTATTTCCTAAACCCTAATCTAGGTGTCCTTGTGAAGGTATTTTATACATGTGATTAGTACCCACAATCAGTTGGTTTTAAGTAAAGATTACCTTGATAATATAAATGGGCCTCATCCAATCACTTGAAGGTCTTAAGAACAAAAACTGAGGCATCCCAGAGAAGAAATCCTGCCTCAAGACCACAATATCAACTCCTGCCTGAGTTCCCAGAATGCCAGCCTGTCCTACAGATTTCAAACTTGCCAGGCTTCACTACTGCTTGAGCCAATTCCTTAAAATAAATCACACACACACAACGACGGACAGATATCTGATTGGTATGAGAGAGGCAGAGAAGAACATGATTTTTTCTGATTCACCAGAGTGGCGAAAGATGGGGCAGCTTCAATACTGCCCATAGGTTTAACAGTCAAAAAAGACCTTAGATTGTTCAAACATATAAACTTCTTTCCTTCTTTGGATCAAAATCCCATCTACCCGTGGTAGTCATCCACTCTCAGTAAGACTCTGGGAGGGGATTCATAGAAGACAGTGACCTTGAAAGGGCACAGTTCTTCAGTGCCATGCTATAAGCCATCCCCACATGAAAGCGAGGGGTTAAGGCATATGGAAACCCCTCCAATAGCCTCCCATTCCCCCACAGAGTCCCCACCTGAACCAGAGATAACAAGCTCCTTACATTTTGAGAGCCAAAGGGCAATAGGAGACTCTAGATATATCCTAGAGGTTGTGGCTGGAGCAGCACAACCAGGAATCCATTCCATGGGATGCCAATGGACAATTCTACACTAGAGACATTCTTCTGTATAACTGGCCACTGACTTAGGTTTTCTGTGCTACTAAACTTCCTTTTGAGTCTAGCATTCTTGCTATAAGGGACCTCCTCTTCCCCCAAATAGCCAGGCATCTGGAAGAAGACATCTGCTTTGCCTCCAAAAGCAGAGCTGATCCTGGGTCAGAGAATACCACTTTATAGAATATTTTACTACAAATAACACTAAGTTACTGGTTTCAATATGACAAGGTGGATGAGACGTCAGGGACACATCCACCTTTGACGTTGAAAGATGACGACTTTTCACTGCATGCAGGTATGTCTAGAACTGTTGCATGAGATTCCTTCCAGTTTGGACACGGGTAGATTATAGTTTTAAAGTAAAATACATTTATCAGCTTCCTTTTGAAATCCATTCTACTGTCTCTAATGAAGATGCACATTTCCTTAGAACAACGTTTATCTTTCCGACTGTAACCTGAGCTCATGTCTTGAAAATGTTTGGCCACTTTTTCCTTGCTGTGTGGGCTTCCTTAACAGTCTTTCACGAGGCTAAAGATTACAGCTGCTGGCTTCTCACTCTGTCATCAGCACAATGTTTTGACTTTCAGTGAGTTGCCCTTGACAGCCTCATGATGGTGGCACTTCCCAGCTATCAGCACTGAAGTTCAGTTACTTCAAATTGTGTGTGTGTCTGCCCCTTCCTGGCTGTCTGCCCTCTCCCAGTCCTTTCTGCAGCCTGAGCCATCACATCTTCATGCTCTCTTGTCTCTTCCTACTGCCAATCCTGTGTGCTGAGCTCAAGGAAACTATGACTTCAGGGGCAGTGAGGAGAAGGCATTCCTAAACATCTCATTGGCATCAGCAGGGAGATGGAAAGGAGAACAGAGGGGACAAGTTATACACCTGCAAGGGCTAAGAGGCCAGAGTCAAGGAGTTAATTCTCTACTGCCCTGTCCTTTTATGTTTAGAAGACAGAGCACCCTTACTCTGCTTCTGCGAGTTGGGCTGTCCCTTTGCTTGATGAGACTCTGCTGGCTGTGGCTCATCCTGGGGGCAAGCCCTGAAATTCTCTAGTCCTGACCCTCTTCATGGATTGATGTCTCAATTCACTTTAGTTAAGAGAGGCTGTGCATGGGCTCTGATTACTGAGACTTCATTCATCTTCCCAAATGACTAGAAAGTATCATCATAAATAATTCAAACTAAACTACACCTAGAGAGAGAAAGCACAACCCAGTGAGGCCATGGACCTGATTGTCAACCACGGCTCCTCGTCCCCAGCTTATTCTTAACGTTGCCAATTCCAGGCACCATCTGCAGCTCTCCTAGGTGCTGGAGAGTATTGGCCTGACTGTCTACATTTAACGTGTCAGAGATGACTCTCCAGATTTAGGGGAACATTCAAGGAAGGCCCAAGGACCTAGCCACTGCTACCTTAAAGAGTCATGGATGGTTGGGGTTAGAAGAGACCTTAGCAATGAGGTGTTCCAATCAGCTGGCTTATTCCAAGTAATGAGAAGAGAGGATCAGAAAGAACAAGTGACTAGCTAAGGCCACACAGCCATGCAGTCCCAGAGGCAGGAGAAGAACTGCATCTCCCTACTATTGGTGTAGTACACGCTCCACTAGTTCCACATACGCTGCTTCTCTGGGTCTGGATTTACCAGCAGGGCTATATCTTTTCCTTGTGCTTCACACAGACATTAAATAAAAACAACTCCATAAAGTATTATATGTTCATCAAAGGAAAGGTACCTCATGAGTGGAAATACACACACACACACACCCCCACACCAGAAGCACTGCCTTTCCCCCACCTCTGAGATCCCTAAAACTAAGCCAGTGGTGGCCACTTCCTGAGCATGGACCACGTGGAGTCCCTGTGCCAAATGCTTTCCATATGTAATCCCAGTCAAATCTCTCAATACCTTCTCACGTGAGCACCATTCACGTTTACAGATGAGGACAGCAGAAGTTCAGAAAGTTTAAGTGACTCACCCAAATCAAAAAGAAAGTCTCAAGTCTAGGACTCCAATTCCAGTCTTAGCCCAGAGTGTTCACCCGTAGTCACTGCTTTCCGCTGCCTCCATTGCACTCTGTGAGCATTTGTAGGTGTGTATGTGTGCGTATGTTCAAGGATTCTGTTGTCAAGATTACATATTTTCATTGGTCCATTCCGGCTTACCCAGTGGTTTCTGCTCATGGCAAAGCTGTGTCCCTCAGGCCTCTGAAATGCCCCACAGTGGATGACCCATAATTGCTAATGGATGCAGCGGCTGCTACAGCGGCCGGCAGGACAAGGTTGGCTTGGCTTCTGCCAAGTTCCCCTACCAGAGGCTCCCTGAACAAAGCCGAGCTGAAAACATGCACAGAGGGAGCTTTACTGGGCCAAGGAGCTGAGCAACCCTGGCCTGTGTCTTCCTTATGCTCATTCACATTTTATAAATGCATACTTTGCCCTTTTGCCATGCAGCCTTGGGGCAAATGGATTAGATTCTGAATTAACCAAGTGAAATGGTATAATACACAAGCAACGTGAAAAGAAAGAATGTAAGAAAGGAAAATGAGCTTTGCAGAGTAATGGAAAAGCTAGAGACAGGGTTACTGAATGACACGGAAGGATGCTTAAGAAAGAGTGTTGTGTGAAAAAAATAGGTCAAACACTGTTTGAATTGCTCAAGACCATTTTCACTTAAGTGTACATTTAAAATATGTATGAGAATGGGCCAGGCATGTGGCTCATGCCTGTAATCCCAGCACTTTGGGAGGCCAAGGGGGAACGGATCATGAGGTCAGGAGTTCGAGACCAGCCTGACCAACATGGTGAAACCCTGTCTCTACTAAAAATACAAAACAATTAGCTGGGCATGGTGGTGGGTGCCTGTAATCCCAGCTATTCAGGAGGCTGAGGCAGGAGAATCGCTTGAACCTGGGAGGTGGAGGTTGCAGTGAGCTGAGATCGCACCACTGCACTCCAACCTGGGAGACAGAGCAAGACTCTGTCTCAAAAAGTAAAAAAAAAAAAAAGTATGGGAATATAGATACTCAGGTACAGATCTACAGTTACATAGATATATGTGCATATGTACATATATACATTTACATATATGTATTCACACATATGATGCTAACAGTGGTCATTTCTGAATAATAAGATTACCACTAATTTTTTATACAATATTTTCTAGATTTTTATATAATGAATATATATTCCTTTTATAAAAATAAGTCCACAGGCCAGGTGCAGTGCTCACATGTGTAATCCCAGCTCTTTGGGAGGCTGAGGTGAGCAGATCGTTTGAGCTCAGGAGTTCAGGACCAGGCTGGGCAACATGGCAAAACCCTGTCTCTACAAAAACTACAAAAATTAGCCAGGCAGGGCAGCATGTGCCTGTAGTCCCAGCTACTCAGGAGACTAAAGTGAGAGGATCACTTGAGCCCAGGAGTTGGAGGCTACAAAGAGCTGTGATCACATTACTGCACTCCAGCCTGGGTGACAGAGTGAAACCACGTCTCAAAAAGAAAATCTATGAAGTGCAAAATAAAGGCATGTCCCTTCCTAGGCTCAATGCACAGTTTCAAGAGCTTCTGTTGGTCTAGAAGAACTGAAGAGGTCATGGTAGCACCCCCATCCACACCAGGACTCTGTCTCCAAACTTCACAGGCTCCCTGTTCTGAAAGCCCTCCCTGGCCCAATTGTGGCCCATTCCTGGTCTCTCAAGAGCAGTGAGAGACAGGAGCCCAAGGCCTATCCATTTGCACACAGATGTGTCTAATTGGGAAGAATGGATAAAGCCTGCCTGTGTGTGAAATCCTCTGCAGGGAATAGCAACATAAAAATATCACACGATCTCAGACCTGAACCCACCAAATAGAATGTACTATCATCACTAAGTCCCAGTCAGCAGTGGGAGAGCCAAACTGGAAGTGGTCACTACCTGGGCATCCAAGAGACCAACAAGCGGGAGAGGGGCAGAAAGCAGAGATATCCCAATGGCAGGCAAGTAGAGGACCCCAA